>NC_000010.11:51506731-51658246 GCF_000001405.40 Homo sapiens | reverse complement strand
CCTAGACTTGTCATAAAGAGAGTCTCACTTGCAGGAGATAAAATCTTGATCCAGTAGTGCAAGGATGAAAGTAACAGTTGAATATAATTCACTGTACTGCTTGCCAATGGGATAGTTTCTGTTAACAGATAAATCCGTATTTCCTGCTTCCAAGGATCTCATGTTTCTTTTTAATCCAGTTCATTCATGAGCCTGGTCTTATAACCAGCTGTTGATTCTATCAATGTGTTTGCAATTTTTTCCTTTTTGCTTATTTCTTAAAGTTGATTTCTTTTTCTGCAATCAAAAAACTTGTTTAGGACACGTTCCATTTCTTTCTTCTGGACAAACACTTTGTTTGCTTTTCACTGGAGCCCAGTACCCTGGAGTCCTCAAGCAATGAGAGGGAAGATATAATTCTGCACAGCAGAACAGTCCCGTCTGCTAAATCTCACCAGGAAGTCTCTACTTTATTCTCCTGTTGGAAGCCTGTTAAAAATGGGTTCCAATATAACTGGAAACTCATGGCTAAAAATTTCTTCACAAACCACCTCTCAGTGAATCAAAAATGTTCCACTCCATAAACTGCTTAACGGTATGCTGAGTGTTTGAAGAATGGGCCATAATTCTCAAGGTGAAAGAAAGGCATATTTAAATGTCTCTTTGACCACAAAATAAAGAATGCTGATGGCACTTTACTACAAAACCTTCTGAATCACTCCACGATCCTGGGGCACAAGGACAGTTTGATTCTTATAATTATTAAGACAGGTGCTCAGAGATTGCAAATCTGACTTTTATTTTCATAATCTTCCACTCTGCATTGCCCTGCATACAATGAACATTGTCATTGGAGTTATTCCATGACCCCAAATTTCTGTATCCATGCTTACTATATTTCATCTGAAAACAAAATGATTTTTATCATGAGAATAATTTTTCTGTTGTTACGGCAGAAGCAATTGAGCTTAGTGGCTAAGTGTATAGACTGCAGACAAATAAACAAAAAAACCATATAAATGAGAGTTTGAAGGATAGGTAGAATTTGGACATGCATATAAAACAATGAGAGTAAAGGAGTAAACTGGGCTTTTCAAATGGAGGAAACAACATGAGCAAAGCTTAAAGGGGAAAACAGATAACAGTAGACACCACCTACTACCTAATAAACATGTGCCCAGCTCTATTATAAATGCTTGACATATATTAATCCATTTTATTATCACAATAACTATGCAGTAGGAGTTATCAGTATCCTTCTTTTACAGGTGAGAAAACTGAGGCACAGAGAATTCAAGTAACTTGCCCAAGGCCACACAGTGCCAAGTCAGAAAAGTCAAGATTCATAGTCACGAAGCTTTCAGAGTCTGTACTCTTAAATTTGCCTTACTCTATGCTACCAATCTAATTGACACTAGCATGTAGGATGTGTGAAGGCAAATGATAAGGAGTCCTGTTGAAAAGGTTTGTTGGTGCCAAGTTGTGGAAGGCTCTGAGTATCTTGAGGAAGGAAAATGAATACTACTCTGAAGAGATAAGAGGGCCATTAAGGTTTTTGCGCAGGGGATGACATGATTACAGTTATGCTTTAGGAAGAATCTGGGAGTGGTGTTTAAGATGAATTAAAGAGAGAGTAGGCAAATGAACATGAGTTAGGAGGCCATTATAGCCAAGGCGAGGACTAAGAGAGTTTGAATTACACAAATACTTTGCGGTGAAAGAATCAGTTTAGGGTAGCAAACACTTCCTGAGGCCTTCTAATGTTTCAGGCACTGGAAATACAAAGATAAATTAGTCCTACCTAGCTCTGTTTCCACATAACACACTATACATGATGGGCTCTCAATACAAAGTTTTTTGAATGAATGAATTGATGTGCACATATTGGGGACGTCAGAGAGCACGACCAAGTGTGATCAAAACTAGAGGCAGTGAGAAGGAGGAATTTTCAGAAAATATTAATTCCTGATACCCTGTGGTTCATTGCCTACTACACTAACTGGGTTAAAAATGCATCATACAACTGTATTTTGGTATTTCTGAAGAGAAAAGTTCACTTAACAAGAACATTTAGTTACATCTCATAAGAATCATGGACTTGAGAATAAAGTTTGTGGTTGAAAAAGTTGTATAATCTATTATGACAGTAAAACACTTGCTTTGAAGTGAATATGATAGCTGTTCTTTTCTTGTACATCTCAAACTCAGTGCCTAGATGTTGCTTACATTCTGTTCTATTCAAGACTCCATCCCTAATAATTGAATATATTCATACCTGACTTTTAAAAATGAATCATGTCTCCAAGACTCCAAATCTCCCAGCACTTGAAAATTTAAACAGAATTACGGGTAGAATTAAGCAGTATTTACCTGTTCTTACTCAGTATCTGTCTATTATCCCCAATATTTCGTGATAGGAATTTGATTTTCAAAGTTTTAACATCACATCTCTATGCTAATTCTCAAGTAGTTAGGTTACTGGTGTCTCCAGGGAATGATCTGAAAGAATAAAAACAACCTATTGCACAGTATTTATCACTAAGTAGTTGAAAGTATTCTGTTATTTAATCCAGTTTTCCATTATAATGAGAGACTAAAGTAGAATGAGACTTAATAGATTCCCACTTTTAAAATTCTGAGTCATAGAGGGCTTAAAAGTATATATATTTTTTTTTCCTGAAAAAACAATCCAAGTACAGAATTTTATCGTCTGTAGAATCATGAAGGTCTATATTCTGTCATGGCCTGCTGTTCTCATTTGAAATAAAGATTCTAAATGTGCTGAATTATTTCCTGATCTTTCTATATTCTGATTAAGTATTGCAAATATTTTCTAACACTGTACATAATTTAACCTGAAAAGTATCCTACCATTCAATGTTTACAAAGTATCCATTATATGCTGGACATATATTTCCTACTCCTTGAACCTATATTTTCCTGGTTAGGTTCATTTGCTACAGAATCTTATGTATAACCAGTATATTTTTAATATTAAATTTCTCTCTTCCTGTGACCCCCAAATTCAGATTTCTATGAAACATGAATCCAGTGGATTTGGAAACTTGAGAATGAACAAAGTAAAGTTCTTCCAGGCTCACTGCCTAATTTCAATTAAGCCCTCCTTGATTTAGTTTAGATACTGGGCATGTGGCCCAGGACTTAATTTCACGGTTATAATAAATCATGTGCACCATCAGCAGTGTCTTCTCCAATCAAGATTTACACACTTGTATAGAGTCTAACAAGTAACCCAAGATGGGAGGAAAAATACAGAAATTCTAAACTGGGCTGAAATAATTTCCTCACAAAAGATTGAAAAGCTTATTGAAATCTCTTGATTGTTTTGTTTCTAACAAGAAGACATGCACCCAGTAGGAGGGTATTTGTGTACACTGTCAGCTTCCTCATGCTTAAAATGTGCAGAGAAATTTAGAACAGTGAACAGAGATGAGAAACCGAAATAATTAAAGTTTAAACATTAATCAAAAAATTTGGAATTATCCAAATCTGAGTAAAAGAATAAATAGGTGATTTATTAACTTTTAAAAATATAAAAAGTATGAAGAATATGTTATCCAACTGTCCATTTTTAGCTATTAAAATAGGTTTAAATTCACAGAGATGACACAAGGAAAACCTTATTTTAAAGATATGGTAGATTCTATTAATAAGCAGCCTCCTGAGTTTGGTTGTGTGTGTGTGTGTGTTTTTCTTTCCTTAAATAAATCTCAAAACTAATAAAAAACCATAGAAGACCATGAATAACCAAAGGAATCTTCAGCAAAATGCACTAAGCTGAAGGTATCACACTACCTTCTTTGAAGATACATGACGAAGCTACAGTAACCAATACAAAATAGAACTGGCATGAAAGCAGAACATAGATGAAAGGAATAGAATCGAGAGCTCAGAACTAAATCCACATATTTACAGTCAATTAAACTTTGAAAAGGTACCAAGAACACACAACTAGAAAAGGACAGTCTTTTCAATAAATGATATTGGGGAAATTGAATATCCAGAAGCAGAAGAATGAAATTGGATCCTTGTCTTACACCATATACAAATATTAATTCAAAATGGATTAAAGACTTAGATATAAAACCTAAAATTATAAAACCTCTAGAAGAAAACATAGGCAAAAAGTTTCTTGACATTGATCTGGGCAGTGATTTTTTTTTAATATGACCCGAAAAGCAGAGGAAACAAAAACAAAAATAGACTCAAACTAAAAAGCTTCTGCATGGCAAAGTAAACAACAGAATGAACACATAATCTTGGAATTGGGAGAAAATAATTGCAAACTATACATCTGATAAAATATTCATATTCAAAATATATAGGGAACTCAACCTTAGCAAGAAAACAAATAATCTGATTTTAAAAATAGGCAAAGAGGCCAGCTGTGGTGGCTCATGCCTGTAATCCTAGCACTTTCGGATGCCAAGGCAGGTGGATCACTTGAGGCCAGGAGTTCCAGACCAGCCTGGCCAACATGGTGAAACCCCACCTCTGTTAAAAACACAAAAAATTAGCCAGGCATGGTGATACATGCCTGTAGTCCCAGCTACTTGGGAGGCTGAGGCAAGAGAATTGCTTGAACTCGGGAGGCAGAGATTGCAGTGAGCTGAGATCACACCACTGCACTCCAGCCTGGGCAACAGGGCGAGACTCTACAAAGGAAAAAAAAGAAAGAAAAAAATAGTCAGAGAAAAGAAAATAAGCAAAGGACTTGAACAGATATTTCTCAAAAGAAGAAGACATATAAATGGCCAATAGTTATACGAAAAATTGCTAAATATCATTAATCATCAGGGAAATGGAAATCAAAACCTCAATGTGATATTACCTCCCACCTTTTAAAATGTCTACTATCAAAAAAGACAAAAGATCAGTGTTGTTGAGGATGTGGAGAAAAGGGAATCCTTGTACACTGTTTGTGGGAATGTAGATTGGCACAGCCATAATCAAAAACACTGTGGAGATTGCTAAAAAAAATTAAAAATAGAACTACCATATGATCCAGCAATCCCACTTCTGGGCATATATCCAAAGGAAATGAAATCAGTATGTAGAAAACATATCTACACTCTGTGTTATTACAGCACTATTCACAAAAGCTAAGATATGGAATCAACCTAAGTGTCTGCAAAGGGATGAATGAATAAAGAAATGTATATATACACACTATGAAATACTATTTGGTTTTAATAAAGGGGAAATCTTGTCATTTGTGACAACATGAATGCACCTGGAGAACATTATACTAAGTGAAATAAGCTAGGCACAGAAGACAAATACCACATGATTTCACTTATATATGGAAGCTAAAAATGTTGAATTCGTAGAAACAGAGAGTAGAATAGAGGCTGGAGAGGAGTAGTAGGAGAAGAGGAGATGTTGATCAAAGGGCTCAAAGTTTCAATTAGACAGGAGGAATAGGTTGTAGTGATCTGTTGCACGGCATGGTGACTGTAGTTAATAGTAATGCATATTTCAAAATTGCTAAAGTAATAGATTTTAAATATTCTTACCACAAAAAGATATGATAGATATGTTAATTACCTTGATTTAATCACTCCACAATGTATTCATATATCAAAACATTACTTTGTATCCTATAAATATATACAATTATTTGTCAATTAAAAATAAAATAATTTAAAAATTAAAAAGGCCAAATGACAAAAAATTTTATAAAGAAATGGGATCGATGACATGAGAAGTGCTTTGCTAGGAGCTCTGGAAAAGTTCTTTCTTGATGTTCCCTCCAAAGTATCTGGTAATGACTCTTTCCCTCTTTTTCTAAAATCTATATTTAAGAGATGCTAAACTTGTTTAGCCAGCAGTTTGAGGATGTTAACCCTACCTTTGAATTTCCAATTACAAGCCAATCAATTTCCCTATACTTTAAAGAATAAGTCTGAGACAGCTTTTTTTTTTAATTTGTGTCAGAAATCACTTAACTAACATTAGTGATTATTTCCTTAAACAAAAAATATTAACATCATTCCATTAGTGCTATTATATCGGAATCCTTTCGTTAACTATCAAAGGAGTTGTAATAGTATAATATATATAATAGTTTTGTGGTTATAGTTCAGTTGTGGCCAGTTTTATATTAAGCCTAAAGCTTTTCTTTCCAGAAGAAGATATCTCTTAAAATAAAGTTATTACTAACAGCAGAAACTCAATTCTTGTTAAATACATAGACAAATTTAAAGCTAATGATAAAGTTTGAGCTGGAAATCTCTTCTCTAAACTAAATAATGTAATTCAATTTAAGTATTTATGGAACACATCTATTAAAAGCTTTACAGGACACAAAGTTGTTGTTGTTAATGATGCTATCATTCAAATATTTACTGTTTATTAGAAGTAAGGGCTGGGCACGGTGGCTCATACCTGTAATCCCAGCACTTTGGGAGGCTGAGGCAGGTGGATCACGAGGTCAAGAGATCGAGACAATTCCGGCCAACATGGTGAAACCCTGTCTTTACTAAAAACACAAAAATTAGCTGGGCATGGTGACGTGCACCTGTAGTCCCAGCTACTCGGGAGGCTGAGGCAGGAGAATCGCTTGAACCTGGGAGGCAGAGGTTGCAGTGAGCCAGGATGGCGCCACTGTACTCCAGCCTGGTGACAGAGCAAAACTCTGACTAAATTAAAAAAAAAAAAAAGTAAGATCTGTAAAATTTTTGTGCCAATCATGTGCCAAATATGAGGGAAATAGAATGCTAAGGGGGTCCAAAGAAGAGAGAAATCACTCTTCTAGGGGAGTAGTAAGAAGAAAATCAAAGGAGACTTCCTAGAGGAAGTGACATTTGACCTGGAACAGGGGTAACCTATAGGTAAACAAGAGGGAAGGGCATCCCACCATAGGCAAAAGGATATCATACAGAACAGAAAAGTAGGGAAGTACAGGTTGTGTCAGAGGAGGACTGAGTCATTTGATTAGACTGGGGAGTAATATGAATTGAAAGGACTAGTGGAAAATGGCCTAGAAAGGAAGGCTACTGTCAGATTGTGAAAGCCTTTGAATATCATGCCTGAGGTTATGAAATTCCTTAGGTATGAGATGGAAACCAATGACAGTTTCCAAGAAGTCAGTGGTATAATCAGTATAGTATTGATATTCTGAGGTGTTTGATTCTTAGTTTCAAGGGCCGTCTTGTGCATTGTAGAATGTTTAGCAGAATCCCTGGCCTTTACCCATTGGACTTCAATAACATCTCTTGCTCCAGCCTGAGTTGTGACAACCACGAATGTCTACAGACATTGCCAAGTCTCCTGGAGGGTACAATCGCCCCCAGTTGAGAACTACAAATGTAAAACGAGTTTTAGGACAGATACTTTTGGTGAGATCACAGGTACCAGTGATTACACAGTAGGCAACTGATGAGTCCAGTTGAACTAAAGTGAATTGACAGAGATGGGGACAGTTGGAGGTAGGGTGGGGGTAACATCTCAGGGAAGTGCTAATGAAAGCCTTGCCTAAGGCAGCAGCAGTGGAAATGGGAAAGACAACAGGAATCAATACAGTGTTAGTGATATTATTATTTTCTAAAATATTCCCAAACTTATTTGATCACAGAAACCTACATAATGCTCATCAATATCCCATGGAACACACTCTAGGAAATGTTATGTTACATGATTAAAGCTTAGATTTAAAATTAATTAGTTTCAATTACAATACATTAACAAATAAGGCAAAGATAATAGTTTGAAAGTCAACACTGAATTCTTTAATACTCTAAGAACTAAGAGTAATGTGTTTTCATTGGTTTTAGCGTTGCTAATTAATTTTGTCAACGGTTATACAAGAAAATTTTTTCTCTAACTCACATGAAAAGATACTATGCTTAGTATGTAGGGGATATAATGATTCTAGGAAAGGGACTCTTATCAAGGAGTACACAATTGAGATGAGATAAAAAGTAAAACAATATTAGAGAGCCAAGATTCCAATTCAACAAAAACCATGAGGTTTCATGACATGGTACACGATTAAGCAGCAAATGGACTGAAGAGAAAACAAGTCCAGATTCCACAAGAGGGAAAAAGCACGGCAGGCTGGATAGGTTCTCTCCTGAGCACCTCGTGAATACCAGGGCTATGCTTTATACTGGTTGGTAAAATTCTGACCTCTAGGAGTTGTTGGTCTATTCCAGTTCACTAAAGAAAAAGCCTTAACCCAGAGGCTGAGAGATGAGGATAGTTAGACCTAGAGAGAAGATGGTGACTCTCGGGCCGGCACCATAGGCAAGAGACCTACGTAGTCTCACAGGACTCTTCACTAAAAAGGGCCATATACTTGGTTTAATGTTTTGCAACCAATCAGATGTTTGCACAGGAATGTGACCTTTGTAACTTCATTTCAGCCTCTAGTTGGCTGCTTTCTGCAACCAATCAGACTGATTGCGGGCTACCACTTCAGTTACATGAGGTGAGCATGAAGTGGCCAATGGGAAACCTCTAGGAGATATTTGAACCCAAGAAGATTGTTTATACAGGCCCTTGAGCCACTGCTCGGGTCTGCACCCACACTATAGAGTGTGTTTTCGTTTTCTATAAATCCCTGCTTTCGTTCTTCTGTTGCTTCATTCTTTCCTTGCTTCGCTGAGCATTTTGTCCAATTCTTTGTTCAAAACACCAAGAACCTGGGCAACTTGCAGTCACGACTCTCTATCGGTGACACGAATATGCCCTATTTAAGTGTTAATTTACCTTCAGAATAATAACACAGAAAGGCATATTTTACTTATCTGTGGGGAAACAAATTCAGCAAGCATGTTCTTTAGCAACTAAAGGGTTCACCTTAACTGAAAATGATTATAAAGATACTTTGGGGATCACTCTCAGAAGAAAAAAAAAATTAAATCATTATGCTTAATTAAATAAGACTGGTTGTACAAAGAAGGCATCCAAAGTGCTTAATATATCAACAATGAATATACTACTATCTAGTGATTATTTCTTCTCTTTAAAATAGCAATGACTCATCATGGATTCCTTTTGCTCTGCATACAATGAAAGCGAATTACTGGTTTTGAAAAAGAAAGTAGGAGCTCCTATTTTCTATGACTATCTACCAAAACTTGAAATCTGCATTTGAATCCTAGGGGCAAAGGGCAAAAATGTAGCGCCAAAAACGCAGAACTGATCACCAATTCATATATTGATTAATTAGGCCTTCTATAGATACTTTAGGCATTCTGGTCTTATTTATTTATTTATTTATAGAGACGGGGTTTAGTTTCAATCCCCTGGACTTACGTGTTCCGCCCGCCTCATCCTACCAAAGTGTTGGGATTATAGGCATGAGCCACCATGCCCGGCCTACTTTGGGCATTCTTGCTGTGGACATAATTTACTGCAAACATGATGAAAAAATACACCTACTGGAATATAATTACTTCCTCCATGTGACATAGTTAATTCCTAGAAATGCTCTGTTTTCCTTCTGTGCTCCACAAACTTTTTATGAGAAGGATGAAGTTTAGACATTAAAGTGACATATGTTTCCGTAATTGAATATTAAACGTCACTGAACAAAACCCTTATTGGTAATGCTGAGGTCACTTGGCAGTTAAAAAAAAATGTTCAAAGAAAAATATTTACAGAGCAAATTGTCATTTTCAGCCACTCTAGGTCCAGCAGGAAAAGATGATTAGAGAAAAAATATCTAGTGCCACCTGCCTTCTTTCTGTTTACAGGAACACTGCGAAGATTAGTGAGTACTCTGAGTTTAAAAAAAGAGAGAGAATAAAAATTAATATATCATGACTACTGTATTAAATGAACTATGCACTCTTTAGGCAAATTCTCCTTACTTGATTATGATTTTCAACCAGTGCAGGCAATATACAGTGTCATATGATTCAGCACCACAGCTTAAATTAAGAATTAATAGTCTGTTCAAAATAATTCTGTTTCATTAAAAATTCATGATTTTCTTTGAAGTTTACTTTGGATAGCGGTGGAGATAGAGATATGTGCATCTCATCTCATTATCAAGACTTAAAACTTTCTAAGTGTTAGATTTTTGTATGACTTATCATTTATCCTTCAAAGTTTCTGAAATTAGGCCTTGTTCAGGGGAGGCATCCCATAAATATTTATTGAATAATAAATGATAGACATGAAAGATTACATAGTTTAAAAATCATTGTGGTAGATTTTTAAACATTACATATGTGTGTGTGTGTGTGTGTGTGTGTGTATGTGTAACCAGAAAATGTAATTTCTTAAATTATAACCTAAAAGGAAAAATGATTTTTATTACAGAGAAAGATAATTTTATCACAAAGGGAAACATGGTTGAAAATAGGGCATGGACTTTTAAGTCTGGAATGCAGACATCAGATGAAAACATACTGTGCAATGTATCATTATGGCAAATAATTATAAATTATCAGATAAATTAGGTAAACCATTAGGTGGTTTTATAATGTTCTAAAATACTAAACAATTAAATATTTAAGAGGTAGTGGCAGTTATATGTTATTTTTTAATGGATTGAGCATTTTTATTATCAAGAGTTCTTCTTTTATAAAGACCAAGTGACTTAAAAAATCAACAACGAGAAAGGTTAGGGTTACAGTTAGTTCCTCTTGAGGTGACAAAATTTTGAGACTGTGTTAGAGTACAATACTATCAAACAATTAGTCATTGAATTTTGATTCAGGAAAACTTAATGATCATTCACAACCCAGCTCTGCTTTTATATGAGTAACTGGAGATACAAAAACGATAAATGGCAAAGCCAAGTTCGCTTAGTTGTTTAGTGATTTAGCCAGGAGTGTCCTTGGACGCTGCTTCCCTCCTACTAAAATAACAATGAACAGTATACTGGAGGCTCATGTTAGGCAAGTTCAAATACTGAATTAGGTCCTTACAAACCTCCATGAAATGTGAGTCTTTTTGTCTCAATTATATTGATGAAGAAAAGTGTCTGAAAAGTTAAGTGTGACTTTTTCAGGGCTACACATCACTTCATTGGGCAGAGCTGAGATTTTAAGTCTAGACTGTTGGATCAGAAAACCTTCCGTTTGTAGACACCTTGCAATCTCATTTCAGTATGCTTCACCCCAGTTTTTTTTTTTTTTTTTATCTTGATCTCATAACTCACTGGCTCTCCAACAATCTGAACATCCATTCTATCAGAGAGCAGTGTAGCAGATATATATTATGGGCTGGAAGACCACTTTAAAAAAAGAATTTATATTTTAATGCCAATAACTAATGGTTCTCTTAAATTAACTTCTCCAAAAGTTTTTAATTTATTTTTCTTTCTGTAAAAAGGGAAAATATTAACACCAAGGAATGAGCTTCTAGTAGAAGAATTTCATTGAATTAAGTGGGCAAGTAGACAAGATAATTTAGAGAAGTGGCCATATATAAGTACTTTGAATAATTTCATCTAGGCACCTATTTTGTCCATCTTTCATTAGGCTGGCCTCATCATTAAGACCAAATATAGCTGATTTATTAAATATATTACATTATTTATTTTTAAATTTATACTGTTTTTAGTTAAAAAATACATGGAGATACAAAGTTCAAGCCTAAAACAAGAGAAAGTATAATATATCAAGTGTTTGCCTCTCTCCCCTTTCCTTCTTTAAGAGATTTGCTCTCCAGAGGTAAGCTCTTCTTAATTGTTTTTAATGTAACTGTCCATAAATGTTTACGGATGTAAGTATATAAGCTTATATACGTAAATATATATCAACATGCTTTGATTAACACAAATAGATCCTGCCTTAAAAACAATTATATAAAGCTTCCAGTTTTTATTCAGCAAGATGATGATGATGTAAGATAAAAAAATGCGAAGCGGAAGGACAAAGATGAAAAAGAGAAAGAAGAAGAGGGTTAGAGGAAGAGGAGGAGAAAGCTAGTCTAAATATTTATCATACAACAGGCATGCTTTTAGTTAATCCTCACAACAACCCTCAGAGGTATATATTATTATAACATTTATTTTACAGATTAAGAAAACTGAGATCTAAAATAATTAGGTAGCTTGCTCAAGGTTGTACTAATAGCGTCAAGATTGAAGACTTGCTCCACAGCCCATGTATCTAACCAACAAACTGTACTAAACTTTGGAGATTTCCATAGCATAGATCTGCCTCATTTTTTTCTGTGGCTGAATAGAATTTATTCTACTGCTATACTCTATGATTTTACAAAGCTTCTAGTGACACACAGTCATTCCCCTACTCCCACCCCAACAGGATTTTTTGGAAATTACAATACTTAAGAGTTCAGGCTTAATACTTGATGTTATGCATATTATACAAGTCAAGTTTAATGAAAAACTGATTAATTTTTTTAATTTTTCTAAATAAACTGAATAACTTGCTTCAGTTGTCTATCTTCTTAGTTGTGGATATCCAGATTCAACTCTTCTTCAGCATACATTTTTTTCTGAGCCTTTAATTGTACAAAAAGCTAAGACAATATCTGGTAATACTAATTTTGCTGTTGATGTATCTGAAGTTTCACTGTCATATTTTATCAGGTGCTCAGAAAATTTTGAAGGGAAAATAATGAGTACTTGTTTTTCTTTTGTTTTCATTTTGCTTATTAACTGGTACTTTTTATATTGCAATGCTCATCAAGACAGGTTTTTGCATGAACATCATGACATAGCTATTATCAGTTAATCAGACTCCAAAAAATTAAGATTTCACACTCTAATTAGAAAAATGGTGACTAATTCACCAGTGGATTCTAATTCACTAATATATTCACATAATTATTAAGCTATTGTGTATTTCCCAGCATATACATCTATTTATTAGAAATGATTTTCAGGAGAAATTGAACTCAAAAGATTGCTTATTTATTTGTAGTTCAAATATGAGACATAGAATTTTAAACATATAAGATGTTGTTGCAAAATGTTTTAATATGGCTTGAAATGCTGTCTTCTAATTTCATCTGTGCCAATGAACACTCTTGTGAAATGTACGCTGCTTTATATCTCTCCTGGGTCAAGCAAGTCTTACAAGTAAAAAATGTACATGTAAACAAACAGCTGATATTTAATTTGTAAATAACATAAGGGAAAAAGATAAACATGTTTAAAAACTCTAATGTGTTAATGAGGCTTAGAAACAATGACCAAGATGCTGGGTGCGGCAGCTGACACCTGTAATCCCAGCACTTTTGGAGACCGAGGCAGACAGATCACTTGATATCAGGAGTTTGAGACCAGTCTGGCTCACTTTAGGTTAGGAGTTCGAGACCAGCCTGACCAATATGATGAAACCCCATCTCTACTAAAAATACAAAAATCAGCTGGGTGTGGTGGCATATGCCTGTAATCCCACCTACTCTGGAGGCTGAGGTGGGAGAATCGCTTGAACCCAGAAGGCAGAGAGGTTTCAGTGAGCTGAGATCACGCCACTGCACTACAGCCTGGGTGACAGAGTGAGACTTGGTCTCAAGAAAGGAAGGAAGGGAGGAAGCGAGGAAGGAAGGAAGCCAACCAACCCAGTAGCAATGGACAACCCTAGTGCCCAGATTGTGCATCTCTAAACACTATTTCCTTCTGAAAGGAATTAAGGGTCATTGAAGAAATAGCTGATTCAGGCCTGAGTCATGAAATATACAAGATAAGTCTGGACCATCTTATCATATCTGATAATAATAAAGCTGTTAAAGACTACTAGATCTATAGAAAAACTCAGAATAAAACTTGAATAGGCTCCCACTGGTCTAAGTTGGAACAATTCAGGCATTAATAAGAACTAAAGTGAATTAAAACATACAAAATTATTTAATTCCATAAATTCTCTTGGTAGAAGTATTCCAGGTAATAAATCAAGAATTTGAACATCTGAACTAATAATGAGCAAATGGATCTAGACATTAAGCGTGAACTGCATCACAAAAAAGAAAGTGAGAAATTATATGCCTCCTCAAAGGAAGAACGAATATAGCTATGACATAATCTCATCAATAAAAAACAAGAACAAAAACACAAAACAGAATCTTGATCCAGAGTTTAGATCCAACTTCCGACTTACAGAAACTACAGAGATAGGTTAGAAAAACATGTTAAACTATGTCATAAATTTGGAGATAATTGAAAATTTGAACCCTGACTCAAAATTCTGTGATACTAAGAGTTTATTAGTTTTTAGGTGTGATATTGGCATTGTAATTATGGTGAGAGTAACAGGGAACTCATCTTTTAGAGACCCATATGATAGGCATGCTTTTAGTTAATCCTCACAACAACCTCACAATGAAATGATATTATATCTGGGATTTGTTTCAAAGCAAATATGAGAAGTCGGGGAAAGGCTGGGGACGTGGATGGGGCAGGATTAGTCATGACTGGTTAATGGTGTTGATGCTGGGTGATGGGACAGGAAGTTTCATTGATTGTTTGCTTATTTTTGCGTACATTTGAAAGTTTCTATAATTAAAAGTTTTGTTTTATGTTTTTGTATTTTTGTTTTGTTTTGTTTTTGTCAGCAGCATTAGAAGTACTAGAGAACTATTTCAACACTAAAATCTTTGGAGATTTTTAAGAAACAGTTGCATTTAAGGACACCAGAGAATTACTTTGACACCAAAGAAAGCTTTTATTAATCCAAGCACTCAGCAGGAGATCCACCACAGTCTATGCCAATTAGCTACCTCTTCACCAGGATCCAGTTATGTCAAGCTTGTCATTTTCCAAATATAAATATTACTTCCTTTAAATGTCAAGTTTATAAAAAAGCTGCCAATGTATAAGAGCTTTATTAAATATGAAAATGAATAGTTTTATCCCAATATTTGTCAAATGTCAAAATTTTTAATATCTAATTAAAACTTCCTAGAGAGATGTATGTATAATAAATTAGCATGGAAATTCAGAAAGGGGAAAATCAGCAGGTTTTAGGATGTCTGAGTTTTCTACATTGTGACTAAGTCTTTTTGGCATCAAAACTGTTTTTCATTAGAATAAAAATAGTTTGTTTTTATTAAGTGAAATAACATTGACAGGAAACATTTTAAGATGTAGAAACATACAGTTGGATAAAATCACTGATGTTATATTCTCAAATATGACACCTGTTACTGAAAGACAGAATATCCAAAAATTAACTAGCATTCCATTGACTAATTTTTTTAACTCAAGCATGAACAAATAGTAACATATTTTTTAAAAAAAATCACAGTGTCTATCATTACATCTCAGTAGCTCTGAAATCCCGGGGCTTTCTTGTCAGAATAAATTAACTTTAAAAAGTGGGAAAAACCTGGTGATTTTAGAAATAGAGATTTAAGATAAGAACGTGGATTACTTTAGTTTTAGAAACAGTATTTTTTCTTGTGATTTCAGAGAGCTCAAAATGCAATTTGGATTGAAGATAACTAATTCTTTCAGGGTCAGACAGAAATCCAGCGTTTCCAGACAGCGTTCAGTTTGTTCAATCAATAAGTTCAGGCTTGTACCATTGTGACAGCCATTTAATTTGTTTCCCACAAAGCCCTTTGTTATAATAAGCCCATTGTTAATTATTCTTAGGAGAAATATAAACAGTTGGGTCCCTTCCTTGCTCTCTAAGAACTAGCATGACCAAAATATTATCTATACGATTAGTAGATCCAAACTCTAAAAGAGAAGTCTTAGAATTATTCTGAGACAAGACTGTATATAAAAATCAACTAGTCTGTGTTCTACCAGTCAGTCTTGAAAACTTGAGTTATCTAGCAGAAATGCAGACTAATTCTTATGTCCTTGCCCAAAAAATGGAAAGCTGATGTCTTGAATAGCAGGTTCAGTGACAGGACTAATGGTGCATAATGAGGGGGGTAATACTTAAATAAGTATTTAAGTATTCAGTTTTATTTTATTTTTTGAGACGGAGCCTTGCTCTGTCAACCAGCCTGGAGTGCAGTGGCATGATCTTGGCTCACTGCAACCTCCATCTCCCAGCTTCAAGTGATTCTCCTGCCTCAGCCCCCTGAGTAGCTGGGATTATAGGCGCGCACCACCACGCCTAGCTGATTTTTGTATTTTTAGTGGAGAAGGAGTTTCACCATGTTGGTCAGGCTGGTCTCAAACTCCTGACCTTGTGATCCGGCCGCCTTGGCCTCCCAAAGTGCTGGGATTACAATGGTGAGCCACGACACCCAGCCAAGTTCTATTTTAAATTCTATTTTGTAGAACTTTAAGTTCTATGAAATGTAGAACAAGTAACTGACAGAGTAGTTGCTCAATAAATACTAGCTATTTTTATAATTGATTTACCACGAATGGACTGCAAATATTCCCCCTTTCACCTTTGCATAGTTTAAAAAGTAAGCCTTTTCTTCAAGGGAAACAGAACTGCTTTTTCTGATTGATTTTCAGCCCTGGTTTGAATGAGCAATCTAGATCAGTTGTTAAGAAATAAGAGAACGGGGTTCCAAAGGAGGAAAGTTAAAGGAAATAAACACCTCTGGAGAAAAAAAGTTGAGGGGAAAAATATAATTTGTCTACATTTTTAAAAAGAACGGCGATGAGTACAAAAGATGGTGGGAGGTTAGCAGTGAGCCAGTATAGCTATTAGACTGGTGCAAAAGTCATCGCGGTTTTGCCATTACTTTCAGTGGCAACAACCGCAATTACTTTTGCACCAATCTAATAGACGATCACTTGGACGTTGCCTAAGAAAGAATGCCCATTGCCTCCAAAAAACCAGCTGATCGAGCATGGCAAGAGACTGCCAAGATGGAGACTGTTTAGGGGGTCCAAAAAGCACAAGGCATCCATGTGAGCACAGACTCCAGCAGAAATATTCTCTCTCTTGGAGAAGACATCATTTGTTTATCATTATCCACTACCTTACCTGTAGACTAAAAAATTCATCACCTTGGAGTTTGTTCCGTTCCTGTCTGATGATTGATGTGAACAGCCCACTAGTCCCCTCAATGGCCCATAGGATTTGCAACCGCAAGAAGCAGGGACTCAGGACAATTAATGTGGTGGTGGTGGTAATGTTCTCCACTCATGAACTCTTGAGAGCGGCACTAAATCTATTGGAAACCCCTGAGCACAGCTCATTGTTTATTGTTTTTCTCTCCCCAGTCACTTCTGGATGCTAACCCAGGATAATTTTTTTTAATCTTGGAAGTCATTTATGATTGTTTAATTCACTCATTTTGCAGTATTATAAAGGGCTTTTTTCTGATTATCTGATTTTTTTTATCTTATTATATTTGTTTCTTTATCTATATCCCTCATCTACACTTTGACCACTAATGGCATGTATTTGCCTAATGTGACAGTATAGTCAGGGTTACAAAACTCTACAAATTCAGCAAGCAAACAAAAAAGGTAAACGTGAAAAAATACAAAAGAGAGACTTGGATATTTAGAGAGAATAAATATTTTATTCCAAAGTCATGTCTTTTATTCTGACCAAACATAAAAAGAGACATATACATCTATTGCTTACTTGCTAAGAGCAATGCCAAAGAACTTTGCTAGTTTAAAAGCTACATAGAGAATTTGAACTACTAATTTGAGAGTATTCTAAAGCCTCACTTCCTAAACTTGAAGGACTCAGTAACTTAAAAAAAATTCAAATCTCAGCCTTAAATCTCCAGAGACACCCTAAAAATGTAGTCAGATGGTTTTAATTTTTTTTCTGGAAGCATCTTCTCCCTCTTTAACAAGAAAAAATAATTCACAGCTGCAAAAGGACAAATGAGAAAGATAACCAGTGTGTTAGTGTTGGTCAATCCTTTATACATATTTTCTGATTTACTTTCTCTTGTTTTTCCTACTCCAGTCAATTAACATTATTCTTGCACGTACAAGCTCCACCATGTCAGAAAAGAAAGGAGAAAATCGAAATTGAAAAACCAATTTTTTTTAAAAAAATCAGGTGTTGAGAGAACTATAAATCAGCTTTCCTCTGGTAGCTTCAGATTCTTGACATCATAAAACCTAATGTAGTTCTTATCAGGGACTACTGCTGGTTTAATGATTTATGTTCTAGGTACTCCTGAATACATGTAATGCTATGATAAGCAGGGCGGCCAGCTGCACTGAAATAAGACTTCATTTCCCCCCATCTACCATGTACAATTGGAAGATACATTGCAGGTCTCTGGAAGTGTTATGGTAGAAATGGTGATGATGATGTTGAGGACAATGACAATGAAGACTGAAGCACCTTAGCTTTATTGAACAACTACTGTTTCAGAGATTTTGCTTTTGGTGCATTACCTCTTTTAATCTTTACAACCATTCCTTGAGAAAGGCACCAGGATACTTATTTTGTAGATCCAGAGACTAAGGCTGTGAGAAGTCACTGACTGATAGTCATGCAGCTAAGAGGCCAGAAACAAAGGAAAGCAATACTCTTGAATAGAAAAATGATTAATTTAGATGCTTCCAAAGATTCAAAAGCTTTATCAAATAAGGCAAAGCTTTTATTAGGTTGGCGCAAAAGTAGTTGTGGTTTTTGCATTAAAAGTAATGGCAAAAACCACAATTACTTTTACACCAACCTAACATTATGTAAATATCATTTTATAATTAATTCTTAATAAAATAATTTATATATAAATCTGTATATGGACTTTGATTTGGAATTCTGTGGCATAAAAAGTTTATTTCTCACAAGTAATTTATTTATTCTTTTGACTGAAAAATTAAAGATAAGGAGTAATGTTTTAGGTTTTAAAATTTGGCTTCCAGGAAGCTCAGAGTTAACTTAGCTTTTAAATAGTGCCTTCTCTCATTCCATCTCACTCCAGTCTTTTTTTTAATCTCATGTCTTTTTTTTTTTTTTTTTTTTTTTTTTTTTTTTTTTTTTTTTTGAGATGGAGTCTGGCTCTGTCGCCGCCCAGGCTGGAGTGTAGTGGCACTATCTCGGCTCACTGCAAGCTCGGCCTCCGAGGTTCACGCCATTCTCCTGCCTCAGCCTCCCAAGTAGCTGGGACTACAGGCGCCCGCCACCTCAGCTGGCTAATTTTTTGCATTTTTAGTAGAGACAAGGTTTCACCGTGTTAGCCAGGATGGTCTCGATCTCCTCACCTCGTTATCCGCCCACCTCTGCCTCACAAAGTGCTGAGATTACAGGTGTGAGCCACCGTGCCCAGCCTCTCATGTCTTGTTTTATATATGACTTATAAATAGCCTCAATCCTCACCTCTTCTATTCTAAGATACATAAAAATTATTTTAAAACTGCTGAAAAAAAAATCCAAAGCAATTCCTTAAAAAACATTACAGTGTTTAAGGTCAATCCACAGTCTTCCTTCTTAATTCTGTAGTGTATAAAGATAGTGGCTGTTCTTATGTAGAACTTACAATCTTCTTTGAAGAGGCATGTCCTTGTCTGTCCCTATGGGCCATTTAAGGTATTTCATTTTCATTCATTAATAATGAGTATATCCTTTTTATTCTTAACCTTAATTAGTTAGTTGACTTTCTTCTTTCAAGTCTTAGTTAATTGGGAAATAATGGTTTCAATGTGTCATTATTTCAAATTAACTAGCTGAACCGACAAATGATTACTTCCTGCTTCCTTCTCCTCCATGATTCCACTGAAGAGACAGGCTCTCCTGCACATATTATTCCCATTGTAACTCTTGTGCTTTATATTCCATATTATAACAAAGAATTTCTTGGTTATCTATATGCCTTTTGAAGACGGCAGTCAAAGTACATGAACATCAGAGACAGCTTGCGACAAAGAATCAATGTCTTATTTCTCTTTGTGGTTTCCAAACTGGAGCATTTGGCACAGCAATGATTTGATGAATGCATAATAAAATTCAACTGCATATCAAATATTGAATATTTATAATATATCTTTCCTTGTGATTGCTTAGAGCAGCTAAGTTACGTTTCTGCTCATCTGCTCACCACCAAGCTACACACACCACATGCTCACTCATTTGGGAGACTCAGCACTGTGAGAATTGCTTGGAGTGTGTCTTTACGGCTGTGACTTCAAAATAAGACTTCCATTACTATTTTAAGATGAGATTCCAAAATGGAGTATACTTATCTAAAATAATAAAACTGCTAGTCAATTTTTCAGAAACTTCACAGAAAAAGAGATTCAGCCAGACCATATGATTTCTCCTGTAAAATTTTTACTTTTGTAAAAAGTTTATTAGTACTAGCCAATAGAATTTTCAATCATAACTCTAAATTGTTAAGATCATTTAATTGGTGAAAGACCTACAATGCTTACTTATATCTAGGCAAATTGGGGATCTCTCGTCTTGTTTCCTTTCTCACTCAACTGCACTTAGCTACTTTCATTATTTCATATTTCCAAGGGCCCAGGCTGACAATCACTTTTTGTCTTCAACTTCTATTTTAAGTTCAGGGATACACATGCAGGATGTGCAGGTTTGTTACATAGGCTAACATGTGCCATGGTGGTTTGCTGCACAGATCATCCCATCACCTAAGTATTAAGCCCAGCATCCATTAGCCATTATTCCTGATGCTCTCACTCCTTCCACCCCCTGCCCAACAGGCCCCAGTGTGTGTAGTTTCCCCCCATGTGTCTATGTGTTCTCATCATTCAGCTCCCACTTGTAAGTGAGAACATGCAGTATTTGGTTTTCTGTTCCTGCATTAGTTTGCTGAGGATAATGGCTTCCAACTCCATCCATGTCTCTTCAGAGGACATAATCTCGTTCCTTTTAACGGCTGCAAGGTATTCCATGGTGTATATATACAACATTTTCTTTATCTAGTCTATCATTGATCAACCTTTACATTGATTCTACATCTTTGTTATTGTGAATAATACTGCAATGAACGCATACATATGCGTATCTTTATAATAGAATGATTTATGTTCCTTTCAGCATATACCCAGTAATGGGATTGCTGGGTCAAATGGTATTTCTGCCTCTAGGTCTTTGAGGAATTGCCACACTGTCTTCCACAATGGCTGAACTAATTTACACTCCCACCAACAGTGTAAAGGAATTCCTTTTTCTCCACAACCTCTCCAAAATCTGTTGTTTTTTTGACTTTTTAATAATTGCCATTCTGACTGGTGTGAGATGATATCTCATCGTGGTTTTGATTTGCATTTATTTAATGATGTTGAGCTTTTTTTTTCCATATGTTTCTTGGCTGCAAGTATGTCTTCTTTTGAGAAGTGTTTGTTCATGTTCTTTGCCTATATTTTAATGGGGTTTTTTAAATGACAATCACTTTTTATGGAGAAGGTTTTTAGAAGAAAAGCCTCAAAAATGAACCACCATATTGGATCATCACAAGATGTCCAGCTGCTAAAGTAGGCACTGTCTATAGCCAATCCAATTTGTTGCTAAGATTTAGTAATGGGTGCCTTATTCTCTCTAGTCAAGAATTTCCCTGTGAAGAATAAAACTCAAGGAAAGTAAACCATCAAGTAACTCACACTGTTCTCCTCGTTTGCTACCTATCACAGCAAAGAATTTGATACAGGTGAAAATAGCTCAAAATAAAAGAAAAGGAAATTGATTAGTTAAAAGTAACAAACTAAAGCCATAAGCTGAATCAGCCAGGAATGAGCCAAATAGATCTTTACGTTCTGGCTGGACAGATGGTCAAATGAAAAGCCCCTTCTATTTGCCTGGGTACAGCCTTCCCAGATCTTATCCAAGTGCCCAAAGCTCATCATTCCATGTGAAATATCCAAATCACTTCAAGCTCTTAGGGTGGCCTAGAACCACTAGTTAATTAAGTAATTATTGAGCACTGTTTTATATCATGCACAATATTTGATGTTCTCACTCACATAGCTGTGTTCTCATGGAGATGTTTAATATCGGTCAGCTTACTCTTGCACTCTCAATTCCAGTTATTAATGTAACTAAATAAAACATGAACAGAATAACCAATTATATGATGCATAGGATCCAAATATTTTTTATCTAACCCTGTTAATTTACAGAATTGATTATGGAGAATCAATGGTTTTGCTTTTGAATATAGCTGACTGCTGAAGAAGCTAAAGGCAAAGCCAAGATTTCCAAAGTCCTAGGGCGGTGTCATTTCCCTCTTCTAAAATCAATTGTCAAATATATTCATAAGTCAAGAAGTGTGAGGCATAAAAAGCGGATATGCAAACTCTTGCATTTAAACTCCACTTACTTCTAAAAAAAACTTAAAGCAGCTTATGCTTTAAAGAAATAAAATAAAAATAAGACCAAGCCACCTAACAGAAGTTTCCCATTTATTTATGACTTCATAAATTTCATCATAAATGTTAAGTGCTACCATAGATTTCCTGATTTATTTACTTCAACCAAGGTACCCCTTTACTTTATGATGAATTTGTTTCAGTAGCCTTATAGGAATTCATTTTTTGCACTGCTCTATTAACTGTGCAAAATATTAGAAGCTGAAGATTTATCATTTTTATTTTCTTTATTGTGATCTTGGACTATTTATTTAATATTGCTTAGCTAAATTGTTTCCCTGTCTCTAAAGCATCTAAATGAGCAATTGGCAAATGATAAACAAAGTGATTAATCTAGACCCACAGTTACTGTTGAGTTGATGAGCAGGAGTCACATGGATTCTACATTAAGTTTCTTGGAAGACAGAAATCATGTGTTAAAGCAATTCACATTAATTCATACATTGTTCATGCCAATTGTGCCAAAATGGCCATCTGTCTAGGACATGTTTTATTTAATTATAATTTGGCACAATGGTTGATTTTTCTAATCAACACCCAAGTATGGTCAAAAGGTGCCTTTTATGACACCTGACCCACAAGTGAGTTTTGGCCACGGGCATTTTGGGAAGAAAAAAAATTTATTTAATCCTGTACTTTCTCTTTAAGACAATTTTCTCATGATTGGTAAAATATTTTTGCTCTTATTTTGAATACATGTTTTAATATAAAAAAGGACACTTTTATTAGCTTATATTTACATATTGCATTTTCATTCCACTTTCATACTGTGGCAACTTCATATATCTAACCTCTTTTTTTTTTTTTTTTTGCTAAAATAATTAAGGTCATCACATTTCCTTTCCAGTCTATTTCAACCTAATTCCATCAATTTTTGTTTTCATGACTTATATTAGTTGATTCTAATAGAGGTGCAATATTCTCTGCACAGAACCCAAATGCAGGACAGGCTATTATGTTCTGCATGCCAGTCAAATTACCAGGCATTCTTTTTCTTAACATTTATTTCAGTTTCAGGGGTATGTGCACAGGTTGTTTTTATACATAAATTACATGTCATGGGGGTTTGGTGTGCATATTATTTTGTCAGCCAGATAATAAGCATAGTACCTAACAGGTTGTTTTTCAATCCTTAGCTTCCTCCCACCCACCTCCCTCAAGTATGCCCTGGTGTATATTGTTCTCTTCTTTGTGTCCATGTGAATTCAATGTTTAGCTCCCACTTACAAGTGAGAATATGTAGTGTTTCATTTTCTGTTCCTGAATTAGTTTAGTTTTCTTAGAATAATGGCCTCCATCTTCATCCATGTTGCTGCAAAGGATAGAATCTCATTCTTTTTTATGGCTGTGTAGTATTCCATGAAATTACCAGGTATTCTGATAGCCTCTTGAACATTGCTTTCTAGCTTCATATGGAAATCACAAGGATGTGATTTATCATGACTAGTGTAAAGTCGATTCTTAAGAATTGTCAGTATCTCCAGATATCATATAGCTTTTTAGCCAGTATCTAGGTAGGGTCCTTATTTTTATCCAATTCCTTACAGAAAGTGTCCAATTACTTTAAGGGAACTCAAACCAAGATTTGGAATAAGAACATGCAGATCAGATAATCTCAGATCAGATGATGTATCTTCCCTGGTCTAAACCTGAATGGCTCCCCTAACTATATAATCAAGTTTTAGATGTGTAGACTGATATTTGAGGTCCCTTTGGCCCTAATTATATGTTCTCATGTATCCTACTTTCCAATTATACCCAATCAATCACCATCTTAAGACTTAGCAAAGCCCACAATGTAACTGTAGAGATGCTTATACTTTTTCCTCCCTTGGCAAATCCTCTCTTCTTTTTCTATAAAAATCCTATTAATATTTCAGAGTCTCATTTTTTTGTTACTTCCTTTGTGAAGCTTTGCTAGTACCTAGGGTAGGTTTATTACTGTCACAGAGCTTTGTCCAAATCTCTATTGAAACACACATTTCATTCTGCCTTAGTTATCTTGCCTTCCTTCTCCAAGCTAAGTGATATGTCATCAATCCAGAAACTTTTGCATTCTATGAAATTTTATAAATTAATGACCAAAACATTTTTTATTAAATCCTGACATGAGGGTTCTGCTTCCTCAAAAGAGGGGGTTCCAGAGCCCTTCTAAATTATTACCCTGGTTAGCAAAGAAAATGTTCCATCTGTTCTTGTTAGAAAATCTACAGTGGAGGGGTCATCAGTTGACAACCAATAGGCCAAATAGCTTATGGATCAATTTTGTTTGGTCTACATGCTGTCCAAAAAAATTGAGCCAACATTTATAAGCCGGGACATTTCATGTTAAAAATCTGGATTTGGCTTCTTTGGGGAAAAAAGTAAAATCTAAAACTGCCGGCTCTGACTCCCCAAATGATAACCATCTGCTGGAGCTGAGCATAATGTCTGATAAGACAGGGCATGCATTCTTCATTTTGCCACAGACCACACCAATCTCTTCTATCCCCATAATGAAGATGCCAGTTGTCATTCATTATCATGTTTATGCCTTCACTTTTTTATACTTCAGAAATATTTTTCTGTAACCAGGGAAAATTTTGTTGTGAAAACAAAAGCTTCACCAGGAATATCATGTTTTCTTTTTTTTCTTGAGTCCATTATTTTAAGTGACTTGATTTATATGTGCTTTTGAGTTTGCAATGCTTTATATTTTCCCTCGCTTGCTTCAGGATGTTCAGCTAAACTGTTAGAAAGGGTGAAAATTTGTTTAAAAGGAGTAAGTCTTCTATCATCATCAGGTTAACAATATTACTAATCTATTTTTTTCTTTTAGTATAGAAAGTAGGAAGTTAATAAAACAGACCTGGAAGAATTCCAAGAGAATTATTATTATTATTTTAAAATATGTGAGTGGTTGCCTCTAGATCTTTACTCAGGCCACTGAGAATTAATTCAACTCTTCTTGTACCTCTGAGTGACAACAATTGGAACCACAGTACGTTTGCTCAAATTCAAAGGTGTTCTGCTAGTCAGAATCACTTGCTGATTAGCTTTAAGCATAGTGGTCCAAATCTATTGATAAAAAACTAAATGTAAAGACTACATGAGTTTATAAACAAGATTCATTACATTGGACATAATCTCTAAAAATAGGAATTTTATAGAGGCTGATAAGAGTTTGGAAAATACTAAGGGCTCAAAGCATTACTCCTACAATGGAACCAAGAAAACTACTGTTTAAAAAGGGAAACATTTACTCCTCTGTCTTTATGGACTCACCATATTCCAAATTAATTTCACCAGCAAGGAGAGGCATGCGTCAGTAAGTGCAGTTTTACCACAGCCCAATCAGAGTTCCTTACATAAAACAACTGGCCCCAACTGAACCATTAAATAGAGCATATTTTTAGCTACAAGCATAACTTTGGGCTCAATTTTATACTCAATCTAAAAAATTTTATTCACAAAGTAATTAGGAAACACCTTACAGTGAAAGAAAATATCAGCTCAGTAGGGGACAACAGATAGATACGATTAACCTAGCTGCCCCAAATAAGCAACAATTAGAATGGATGCTAATGTAAGAACAGAGGGGAAAAGCAAAGTTTGCTTCCTGAGCTTCCCACTCCTAAAGCTATCTGTACTTGACTGCGATGGGTGTGCACGTGCACAAGCTCATAAAATCATTGGAAAAAATTCAGCCTATTTTTCAAAGTCCTATTTACATAATTCCAAATACCAAGAGTTTCTGAGTTTCCAGCAGACAGTTGAATGACAGCATTTTTCCCGTTGCATCCCCAAAACAACCTGTACAGTATATTCTTTAAAATCACATGGGGGTCACTGTTTATAACAAACTCTTTCTTTACTGTTTTCTAATCTGCTAGGATCAGGGGTATCCAATCTTTGGCTTCCCTGGGCCATATTAGAAGAAGAAGAACTGTCTTGGGCCACACATATAGTACATTAATACTAACGATTGCTGATAAGCTTAAAAGAAAAATTGCAAAAAAAAAAATCTCATAATGTTTCAAGAAAGTTTACAAATTTGTGTTGGGCCACATTCACAGCTGTCCTGGGCTGCATGTGGTTCACCAGCCGCAGGTTGGACAAGCTTCATTTAGATGTTACTGCAATCTGGGATAATAATGCAAATAAGGGAGAAACTTGTAACCTGCTTTTCTATCCTTTACAGCAGGGGTCCTCTATTCCTGGGCCATGGAGAGGTACTGGTTACAAACATGTTCCTCACACACAGCATGAGGTGAGTAACAGGCAAGCAAGCAAAGCTTCATCTGCATTTATGCCACTCTCCATCACTGGCATTACCACCCGAGCTCCACCTCCTGTCAGATCAGCAGCAGCATTAGTTCTCACAGGAGCGCGAACGCTATTGTGAACTGCACACTCAAGGGATCTAGGTTGCATGCTCCTTATGAGAATCTAATGCCTGATGATCAGAGGTGGAACTGCAGCAGTGATGCCAACACTGAGGGGAGTGGCTTCAAATACAGATTAACCTTAGCAGAGAGCTTTGACTGCATAGAGACCATAACAAATCAACTGCTTGTAGACTCATATCAAAACCCTATCAGTGAATGGTAAGTGACAATTAAGCTGCATCTGGTGGCAGGCTTTATAGTGGCAAGTGGGTTGATGTACTTCAATTGTACAGCTGCATCTGGTGGCAGGATTTAAGTCAGAATCCGACACTAATTTTAGTCCATGCATGGCCCACCTATTAGTTTATTTAGTTTATTAGTTTATTTACCACTCCATCCATGCCTCTTTCCCTGCACTGCACATTTGTCTCAGTCAGAGTTTTGGTAAGCCCACAAGCTAACCCTAGCACAAATGAGTGAAAACAAATGTAACTGGAGAGTTTCTTTGAAGAGGGGGAAAGACCCAATGATGAGACAGCAGAAGACTCTAAGAATGCCAACAAAAGGAAAGTTGCATTTAAAATAAAATACCAAGAATACTACTTAAATTATGGGTTCAGCACAACAGGTGATTTACATTCTCCAAGCCCTTTTTGTATAATATGTGGTGACCGGCTATCCAACGAAGAAGCCATGAAGCCTTCAAAACTGCTTTGCCACATGGAGACCAAGCATGCTGAATTAAAAGACAAGCCTTTGGAGTTTTTCAATAGAAAAACACGTGAACACAAAGAACAGAAGAAATCATTGAAGGCCACCACTTCATCAAATGTGTCTGCACTGACAGCATCATTCAGTGGCTAACCACAGCGCTGAAGCTCCGAAGCCCTTTACTGTTGGTAAACAGATGATCCTGCCTGCTGCTAAGGACATTTGTCATGAACTTTTAGGAGAGGCTGCAGTTCGAAAGATAGCACACGTTCCTCTTTCGGCTAGCAACATAACTAGACGATTTGATGAATAGCAGAGGATACTGAGGCACAACTGGTAGAGAAGATTAATGAGTCACCATGGTATGCAATCCAGGTTGATGAGCCTACCAATATTGACAATAAGGCAATAATGCTTGTTTTTGTGAGATACATTTTTCGGGAGGATGTGCATGAGGGTATGTTATGTGCACTTTTGTTGCCAACCAACAGCACAGCTGCAGAACTATTCAAGTCTATCGGGAAATCTGAACTGGTCATTTTGTGTCAGTATATTTATGAACAGAGCAGCTGCCATGACTGGTTGGCTTTCTGGTTTTGCTACCCAGGTCAAAGAGGTTGCTTCTCAGTCTGAGTCTATGCACTGTGTCATCCATGATAAAATGCTGGTTAGCTGAGAAACGTCACCTAGACATAATGTTTTGCAGGATGTGATTAAAATTAACCGCATTAAAGTACATGCCCTTAACTCATGTCTGTTTGTGCAGCTCTGAGAGGAGATGGACACACAGCACACATGCCTTCTCATACACCGAAGTGAGATGGCTTTCTAGAGTTGGATCAGTGGCCAGAGTTTTTGAGTCACGACAGCTGCTCCAGAGATTTCTTTTAGAAAAACAGTCATCACTGGCAGCACATTTCAATGACACAGAATGCGTTGCAAAACTTGCTTAACTTGTGTGACGTTTTCAACCTGCTCAACTAACTCAATCTGTCACTTCAGGGGAGAATGACAACTGTGTTCAAGTCGGCAGATACAGTAACCGCAATCAAAGCCAAACTGGAATTATGGGGGCGATGAGTGAACATTGGAATTTCTGACATGTTTCAAACATTAGCAGAGGGTTTGAAAGAGATGGAGCCAGGGCCTTCTTTCTCCCAGCTGGTGCATGATCATCTATCTCAGCTTTCAAAGAGTTTGAGTATTACTCCCCAACCATAAAATACCCGCGAACTGGAAAGGAATGGATCCGCGACCCACTTGTTAATAAGCCAGGTGAATCGACTTTGTCCATGCTAGAAGAGGGTCAATTGCTTGAAATCACAAATGGTGATGACCTTAAAAGTATGTTTGAGACAACTTCAAACCTCCGTATGTTCTGAATTAAAATCAAGATGGAATATCCTGAGTTTGCCACAAAAGCACTGAAAAGCCTGCTTCCATTTCCAACATCTTATGTTTGTGAAGCAGGGTTTTCTGCAGCGACAGCAATCAAAATGAGATTATGGTGTAGACTGGACATAAGCAACACACTTTGGGTGTCGCTGTCTCCCATCACCCCCAGATGGGACCATCTAGTTGCAGGAAAACAAGCTCAGAGCTCCCAGTGATTCTACATTATGGTGAGTTGTATAACTATTGTATTATTATTACAATGTAATAATATAAATGAAGTGTACAATAAATGTAATGCCCTTGAATCATCCTCAAAGCATCCCCCACCTCAGTCCATGGAAAAACTGTCTTCCATGAAACTGGTTTCTGGTGCCAAAAAGGTTGGGGAACACTGCTTTAGAGCAATTACTTTCAAAATCTTTGACCAAGAACCACAGAAGGAAATAGATTATACATAATGATTTCATATACATATACCTGAAACAAAATTTAATGTGAAACAGTACTCTTACCTATTCCTCCACACCCCATATTTTCAACTATGATCCTTTCTATTTTATAAAAACAAAGTGCTAGTTGTTAACCACTAAATTGATTCTGTGGCTCACTAACATAACTTGCAGTTTTTTTGGTTTTTGTTTTTGTTTTTTTTTTTTTTGAGACGGAGTCTCGCTCTGTCGCCCAGGCCGGACTGCGGACTGCAGTGGCGCAATCTCGGCTCACTGCAAGCTCCGCTTCCCGGGTTCACGCCATTCTCCTGCCTCAGCCTCCCGAGTAGCTGGGACCACAGGCGCCCGCCACCGCGCCCGGCTAATTTTTTGTATTTTTAGTAGAGACGGGGTTTCACCCTGTTAGCCAGGATGGTCTCGATCTCCTGACCTCATGATCCACCCGCCTCGGCCTCCCAAAGTGCTGGGATTACAGGCGTGAGCCACCGCGCCCGGCCAACTTGCAGTTTTGAAAAACTTGAAAGCTTTTTGATTTCAGAGGCACTTACCAGAATAGTCTACTTAATTTATTAACTAAATGGAGAAAAGAAATAGGAAAACTTTAAAGGTGGTGAATAAAAACTTAAATGGTAAAAATATATACCAGAGCTATTTTATCACCCCAATGTTGAGGGAAAACACGTGTACTAATTTACCACTGAAAACAAGACCAGGCTGGGGGTAGTGGCTCACGCCTGTAATCTCAGCAGTTTGGGAGGGCGAGGCGGGTGGAATTCTTGACCCCAGGAATTTGAGATTGGCCTGGGCAACATAGTGAGACCTCATTTCTACAAAAAATACAAAAATTAGCTGGCTGTGGTGGCACACACCTGTGGTCCCAGCTACTCAGAAAGCAGAGGATAGATTCAGCCTGGGAGGTCGAGGCTGCAGTGAGGCAAGTTTGTGCCACTGCACTTCAGTCTGGATAACAGAATGAGAAAGAAAGAAAGAAAAGAAAGAAAAGAAATAAATAAAGAAAGAAAGAAAGAAAGAAAGAAAGAAAGAAAGAAAGAGAAATAAAGAAGGAAAGAAAGAAAGGGAAGGAAGGAAAGAAAGAAAGAAAGAAGGAAAGAAAGAAAGGAAAGGAAAGAAGGAAGGAAAGAAAGAAAGAAAGAAAGAAAGAAAGAGAGAGAGAGAGAGAGAGAAAGAAAGAAAGAAAGAAAGAGAAAGAAAGAAAGAAAGAAAGAAAGAAAGGAAGGAAGGAAGAAAGGAAGGGAAGGAAGGGAAGGAAGGGAAGGAAGGGAAGGAAGGGAAGGGAAGGGAAGGAAGGAAGGAAGGAGAAAGGAAAGGAAAGGAAAGGAGAGGAAGATTGTGACTTTCAGCTACCATTCTACCATTTCAGAAGGCTTTCTAGGTGCTTGGTACTCTGCCAAGCACTTTCAAGTCTCAGAAAAACAGTGAGTTAGATATACTATTATTATCCCCATTTTGCAGATTAGAAACAAGAAATTTGCAAGTCTGACTTCAAAAGCCTGACCTATCAACCACTAATGGTGTTCTGCCTTCCAACTGTAATTGCTATATCCTAATGATTCCAGAAAACAAACAAACAAAAAAATGAACAAAGACCCCTCATAATTAGTAAACACTTCAAAACATTAACAAGAAGCATACATCTATCTGAGTCCAAATTGTCAGGCTTTAGAATTTCATGAAAAGATTGAAAATTAATTGGGAGGTTTTCCTTAGTCCTTATATGAAACTCTTACTTTCACCACTAAAGAAACCTGAAGCATGTATTATATGTCTGTACTCTGTTAAGCAACCTGTATCCACTGTCTCCACTTTATTGATAAGGAAGAAACAGTTTACACAACCTGCCCAAGCTTTCACCAATATCATTTTTTTTCCATGTATCCCATTCCTAGTAAGCTGAACTACCTTGAGTTTCTAAAACCCACCATGTTATTTTGTGTATCTACAACTTGGCATAAGCATTTCTTTCTGTTTCCTTCTCTCTCTCCTCCAACTGATTTATTTCTTCAAGGCTTAATTGAAAGACTATGTAGAAAGTCACCGTGACTCCTTTTTCCAATGTGTTAAGTGCCCTACCTTGCTTCCTTTTCTCCATAATAGAACTTATATTTTTACTGTCAGTTGGTTTGTTAGAGAATCTCTTGTGGTAGAGATTATGTCTCTCATTTCCATACTTTCAGTACCTGGCACTATGGTAGGTTTTCATAAACATTGGCTGGTTGAGTGAATGAATGAACTAATGAATAATGAACAAAAAAAGAGCCCTGAACACTAAAAATTTAACATCTAGCCTTATGGGATTAAAATACAAGTTCAAACTCCCGCATAGGTACTGATTAAAAAGGGAAAACTGATGGAGACCCTCCTTGCAATACAATTTTCCAAGAGTGATCTCAACACTGACCAATCAGTCCCCAAGATGATGCCAATACCAGGTTTAGCTGAGTTGGTAGCAAATATTACAGAATGAAGAAATTGCAGAAAAACAAAAGAATGCTAAAATTGGCCCAAAAGATGATGGATTGTTGCTATGTAAAAGATAAAAAGCAGAAGAAATATGAAAGTCTGAAAATCAATGCTATTCATTATGATTTGAAGATTTTTGTGGGTTGTTTGGACAAAAGTTAAAAAAGAAACAGAAGTTTAAGGAGAAAAATTCCCCCTAGGATTTCAAAAAATAACTTTCAACGATTATTTTAAAAAAATGAAATAGAAATGTGTTTCCCTAACAACATGCAGGTAGGATTTTAAAGACAATAGTCACACATTCTTAAACACAATACCTAAAAATATGCCCTATGATATAGAGCTCCTAATCACTAAAATGTCAACTATGTTTTTCTAAAACAAAATTGTACATTTCACATTTCATGCTCAATGTCAAGTGATTCTTAATTGTAAAAGCTCATTGAAAAATGAGTGAATATCAGTCATCCAGTTTTCACGGGGATTTCTGCTGCTTTGTGACATGCATGAAAAGTGGTTACCCAGTCATTCCCACAATCGTAGTAAACATTTCTACTGTATACACCAATAAAATGTTAAGTTTCTTCCCTTTGTGACAACTTCGATCACATAAGATGCCTGTAAATATTAAGGCAAGAAATAGTAATTGACTTCAGCAATATTGTCGTGCAGCAAGTAAAATAAAATTACTATTACATTTTCAGTATTAGTGTTAAGCGGTTCTCAAGCAATTTTCAAAGAAAATGGATTGCAAGGTAGAGTGAATGACAAGTTCCATAAGAATATACATGGGGAGAAGTGTAACTTAAACTATTGTTGGTCTGGGAGAAAAGCTATAACCCAGAACATAATTTGTCTTTTCATTGACTGTGACTCTCTGTTCTGTTTTGAATCTCCTGGAGGTTTGTTTGATAATAGTAACTGGAGAAATACAAAGAAAAGTTAATTCATATATTCTTTTTTTTTTTTTAAATCTTAACAGTTTTATTGAAGCATAATTTAAATATCATAAACTCCACCCATTTTAAATGCACTATTAAATGATAATTTTTAGTAAATTTACAGCCATGCTACCATTACAAAATCCAGTTTTGGAACATCTCCATCAACTCACATCTCTCTCCTGTCCTTTTCAGTTAATCCCCATTCCAGCACCTGGTAAGCCACGAATTTATTTCTGTGTCTATGGGTCTTTCTTTCTTTCTTTCTTTTTTATTGAGACAGAATCTCACTCTGTCACCCAGGCTGGAGTGCAAAGGCACAGTCTCAGCTCACTGCAACCTCTGTCTCACGGGTTCAAGTGATTCACCTGCCTCAGCCTCCCAAATTGCTGGGATTACAGGTGCCCATCACCACACCCAGTTAATTTTTGTATTTTTAATAGAGATGGGGTTTCACCATGTTAGCCAGTCTGGTCTTGAACTCCGGATCTCAGGTGATCCACCCGCTCAGCCTCCCAAAGTGCTGGGATTACAGGCATAAGCCACCATGCCTGGCCTATTTTTTATTTATAATTGTACACACATATGGGGTTCAGTGTGATGTCTCAATGCGTGTACACATAGTATAATGATCAAAGCAGGGTAATTACCATACCCATCACTTTAAACATTTATTAATTTTGAGTGATGACAACATTCAAATCTTCTAGCTATGGTGAAATATACAATACATTGTTATTTGTTATAGTCACCCTGCTACATATTAGAACACCAAAACTTGTTCTTCTTATCTTCTTATCTGTAACTTTGTATGCATTAACCAATCTTCCCTGGACACCCTTCCCTCCCCAGCCTCTGATAACCAGTATTCTCTCTATTTCTATGAAATCAGCTTTTTAAAGATTCAACATATGAGTGAGATTGTGTGGTGTTTGTCTCTAATATCATGTAGTTTGAATATTTTCCCATAATCAGACTAGTTTAAAGATTTCATAACAGTCTGTTGTGAGAATGTATCATTATTTAATCATTTATTTTGTTCAACATTTTTTAATTATTCACCTCTGTGAGTAATGCTGTGAAAAACATCTCTGTGGCCACAACTGTGTCCCAAATCCCATTTGAAGAGAAACACTGATGTGTTGAAGCTCTTCCAGAAGGGGCAATAATTGGAGACCCTGAGAATATTCTGCTGAGAAAGAAAAGACTTAAAAGATTATGCCAGACAGAAAGATCTGAAGCAGTGATATGAAAGAAGAATTGAACACTGAGCTTCAGTGATAAGAAGTAAAACAATGGTATTCATTACAAGGAGGCAGATTTCTGTTTATTATAGAGACCGACAACAACAATTTTTAAAAGCCCCCAAATAAACAGAAGCATCTACAGAAAAGAAAGCTTAATTGAGCAGCTTCCTTACTCCTCAAGAAAACAGGGTCCATTCTCACACCATAAATCCTAAAAGAACACTTACATCTGAATCACTTCATGTAATGAATGGGTCTAGCAAGCATGTATTTGTCAATCATTACTGCTAGCCTTTGGACACACTTTAACTTTATGGTTGTCATTCTCTCATGACAGAATACAGCCCCAAATGTATGACAAGTTTTTAAAAATTAGATTCTCTAACATATGAATCAAAGGCCTGGCTTAAAAAGTAAGAGAGTCACTTTTCTGTCATTTCATGCTGGATTGGGAAAAAAATATGAGTGGTTAATGGACATGTGATGCAACTCTTAACAATTTCTGGATCGCTAATCATCTCTTGGCCCCAGGGGTTGTGGAGTGGTGTCTGGGGTCTATTTTTTAGAGAGAAAAATAGCAAGCATAAGAACAATAGAAATTACACGGTAATGCCTGTGCTGCTTTTCCTGGGAAGCAAAACAAAACATTAGAACCCAACGTCAGAGTGATCACCAGCTTCAGGGCGTGAGGATAAGGGTCAAGTCCACAGACGGAAACACGCGGGAGGGGAGTAGAAGAGGCTTAGGAGATGCGTTCCTGAGAATCAACTTAGACAAGACCAACTCCCAGTGAAATGTTTCCACTTGTCTACTCCATCGACTTTTCTCTACCAACAGGATGCTCTGTGTATATCACTATTCCATAAGCAATTCCATAGTTTCTTCCTTCTTAAGAACTATAATTCCATTATAAAAAATGAAAAGTAACATAACCTGTACCAAGCTAAGTTGCCATTTTAAGTACCCAATTACTAAAAGTTGGCTTCAAAACTGAAATTGTGGTTGTGCACAATAGCTCATGTCTATCTGTAATCCCAGCACTTTGGCAGGCTGAAGCAGGCAGACTGCTTGAGCCCAGGAGTTTGAGACCAGACTGAGCAACATAGGGAGATCCCGTCTCTACAAATAGTTAAAAAAATTAGCCAGTCATGGCGGCACATGCCTGTGGTCCCAGCTACTTGGGAGGCTGAAGCAGGAGGATTGCCTAAGCCCAGGAGGTTGAGGCTGCAGTGAACCATGATCACACCACTGCACTCCAGCCTGGGCAACAGAGCAAAACCCTGTCTCAAAAAATGAAAAATAGAAAACTGAAATTGCTTCAGCTATACTATCTTTAAAGCACACATTTCTCTGTCCCCACATAGCTTTATGAGAAACCTAAAATAGATATCAATGTGATCTGTTGGATTGCTACAAGTATGAAGATATTTGTAAATGTTCACATGTAAAACAGGCAATAAAAATGTTTCCATTGATTGTGATGTATTGTTTTGGTATTTTTAACTGAGAGAAATTTGAGTAATTGTCATTTACAGAGCTAATCATGTGACTCTGTCTCATGCATTAGTTTTACTTTGAAGAAAACATTTCATTTTCTCGTAATGAACAAATAGTATCTTAGCACTATGAATGAAACAGGACAAAAAATTACATTGAAATCTTGGAATTTGAGAAAGTGAAGCCCAAAGTAAATAATTTCCTTAAAAAATATGATTGGCTTTCTGACAAAGTCTGATGGCCAAAAAGCACTGTTCTTGCCTCCACCCTTTGACAATAATGGTCAGCTTTTCTGTTTATAAGTGTCTGGGGAGGAAAATGCTGTATAATTTTAATGAAAAGGCCTTAACTTGAGCTCTGGCACTTACCAGTATCTTATTTATCTTACTGATTTATCTCACATATAAACAAAGTATCTCATTCCCATGACCGTTTTCAATTAATGACCGTATCTATACCAGGCAAGTAATTCCAGTATAGAGTCCCTGGAACTGTCATAGAAAGCAGAAAGTTTGGGTGACTGGTCATGCGCAAATAGCTGCCAAAGAGTTTCTGTGGTCTTTCAAATTGAGAGAAGTCTGGAAAGCACTGTGGATACAAAGATTCCTCCTCGATATTTGATCATGATTCACTACTACCCCAAAATTGTAGGCAGAATACTTTCTTGGGGAAGGTAAAGAAGCCTGAAGGTGAAGCATCTATATTCCCTGAAGACATTGGAGCCAGGCCTCCAGTTTCATCCTTGTCACTAATTCCAGCTTTTCCAGGTGACCTGAGTCTTGGGATCAGAGCTCATTCTCCTTTTCAAACTGATATGACACAGTATATGACTAAGAGAGGCATGGTATATATGCTTATGAGTGGATTTTCTATATTTTTATAAGGGTGCATATTACCTGAAAGTATTGATTTACACTTTGAAGCAGAGCCACATGTCATCAGATTTGGCATACATCAAATAGTTGGAAAATAAGCAAATCCAACCAATACAGGGTGAGGAGAAATCTGAAGAAATATTCAGGGCTGATGGCAAGTTGTATTTCAAACATTTCAATCATCTTTGATTTTGGTTCCTAAGTAAGGAACCGAATCAAGAGTCCAAGTTTAACCTAGGAATCTGTGGTTAATAAGGAATTTCAGTTAAAATACTGCAAAAGGAGAAACAAGTCGATTAAATTTTAAGAAGTGTAAATACACCAAAGGTGAGAATTATTCACTGGTGTAACTTAGGAATCAAGTTGAATTACACAGATAGAGAGGACCTTTAAAACATCAGGTTAAATTGAGAATATTCTAGAGCAGAAATAAAATTGACAGAATTCTAGAATAGAATACAGGTAACAATATCTGCGTTTGTTAATTTAAAAGAGAGATAGAGGTTTTGGTTTTTCCTCATCTAAAAGAGAGGTCTGCATCTCTGAAGGAATAATAAACTTGGCATGATACTTGCATGGACACTGAGCAGCCAAAACAAGATGGCTCTAGGGACTAAGGTGGACAGTATTGTATACTTTTGGCTGGTGCATTTAGACATCTCTCAAATTTTCAAATGCCATCTTGAGACAATGCAGTTACATTTTATTTAATGCAATTGCATTAAATAAAAAGAGACATTTAAAAAATGTTATATGAGGTGATGCTCACAAAGCAAAAGTTTTGAGATCTTTAAAAACTTAAAGTATAAAGGGGTCTGGAAACTAAGAAATTTGAGAACTGTTGACATATAATTTCAAAACTCTTTCATCTGATCTCACCTAGCCAACAAAGAAAAAGTGATTCCCCTTCAGGTGTAACCAGTCTGATAATAGCTGAATGCCCTTTAAGGAACAGCTAATGAAGCATCAAAAGGCTTCAAACTAATGCCGTGGATCACGCATGGTAGAATTTCAGCATATATATACACACACACACATATATGTCAGTTTATGACTCATACATATAGGAGTCAGTTTATGACACACACATATATAGGAGTCATATATATATATATATATATATACACACATATACACACACACACACACATACATATACGGAATCAGTTTAACATAATAGTTGAATGCATAAGTCTTTGAAATTGCAGTGGATTCCAATCCTTGATCTATAATGTCAGATTAGGACATCTGGGTCATTTCCCTAAACTTATGACAGTCAAAAAGATACTGGTCCAAACTCTAATCCATTGCTTGCAATGTGGCCCTAAGAAGTTACATAATTTATTTGTGCTTCACTTTTCTCTTAGGTAAAATCAGGATAATGATAGTACCTAACTCATAAAGTCATCGTGAGGATTACCTGACTTGTACATAACTTAGCTCTAGAGGAGTGCTTGGCACATTGGAAGTAATTAATAAGTAGAAACAATAGGAATATTAACACTGAAGTCACAAATAAATGATTGAGTATAACACTGGCCCTAGAAATTACACAACGATGTATAATGTTTAACAATGGCCTGAAAAACACAGGGCTTTAAGTCTGAAATGGCTCAAAGTAGGAGAGATGATGGTTATATCATCATCACTGTATTTTTCCATTACCTAGGACTGTACCAAAAATGAGGCAGGAAGAATTATTCTTCATGCCTCTAAGTCAAGCATAAGGAAGTGATTTGTGACTTGGTATCTTTAGTGTCTAGGGTGAATAGAGAGCCAAATGACCACAGAACTTATAAATAATTTATTTTATTTTTACTTTCATCTTCAAAGCCATTCTAGGTATTACTAACTACAAGTTAATCTAGGGGAAATCCTTCGGTTATTTTTCAAGACTTTCTACAATCTTCATAAGGGTTTTATAGAAATTCATAGAAGATTTATTATGCTAAAATTTGGAATGCAAATTTCCCTATAGTCCAAGTTATCCTCAAATGTATGATCTGCTTGAATAAAATTAAATATATTAGTGTTTGTTGAGGTGTAAGGGGGAAAACAGCATCTACCAAACACAACAACCATTCAGATAACTACTCTGGTTGTCTGCCAACTTACAGGAGCCATGAAATGAATTCAAATTATCATGGCATGTTTCAATCTGGAGTCCAGCCTAAAAGAAAACTCCAAAGTTAAAGAAAAAACTACAGTTAGGACTCATACACAGGAAGCAAACTCAATTGATGCTTCTCTAGCAATGTCTTACTAGATGAAAATTTGTTTCTTCTCTTCCCTTTCCTTGGAAACATCAAAAATAAGGGACTAGAAATGACCCACTTGCATTTACCTATGAATGTGCTTTAGGATAGACCTGACAATAAATGGGAAATTACCTATAATCTCTAAAATCTTTTAAAACGTGATTGGAGAGATATGTAAATGGCTTTCTTTCTCTTGCACAGAAGGGTTTAGCTGTCCTGTCTGGGATGATAATGCAATCATCTGTAGCAAACTCAAATTCCCTAATTAACATAAGAGCCCTGGGAAACTTTCTCTGTAAAAGGCAAATTCAGGCAGGTCCCTCCACAGCTATCAAACTGAGAGGGTTTGACTTGATTGATTTGATTGGTCTTAGTTTAGTGTCTTATTTCCTCTTTCTTATTTGGCAGAGAACCTTCAAAACAAAAATGTCTTTCAGAGAATCTTCCCCACCCTGTCTTTAATCAAAATAATGGGGAAAGACCCAGTCAAATGAAAACCTCCTTCATAGAGCAAAATGGGCCTGCTAATATCAAGGCATTAGTCAGAAATCCATAAGATTGAGCATTAAAATGTACCTGCTTTCTTTTCTCTATACATTTACTTTACTTGGGACATTGATTTCTTCAGCTACCCCTTTTCCTTGAAACCTTCAATTACCCAATATTGTACATTTAAGCAAATTATTTAGCAAACCAATCCCTTTCTCTGCTCTTTCCCCCTCACCACTTCCTCTGGAGTTCTTATCACCTCTAGCCTGGTTTTTCTTCCTCTATTCTCCCACATGATTTAAAATGCCTAGGCCAGCCATGGTGGCTTACGCCTGTAATCCCAGCACTTTGGGAGGCCGAGGCAGGTGGATTGCTTGAGGTCAGGGGATGGAGACCAGCCTGGCCAACATGATGAAACCCTGTCCCTACTAAAAAAAAAAAAAAAAAAAAATTAGCTGGGTGTGGTGGCTTACACCTGTAATACTAGCTACTCTTGAGGCTGAGGTGGGAGGATTGCTTGAACCCAGGAGGCGGAAGTTGCAGTAAGTCAAGATTGTGCCACTACACTCCAGCCTGGGTGACAGAGCAAGACTCTGTCTCAAAAATAAATAAATAAATACATAATAAATAATAAAAAATAAATGCCTAAGTGATTTGAAATGTAAAGCAGACAATGCTACTTCCTTACTTAAAACATTCAATGGCTCTCTATTACCCATAAATCCAAAACTCTATATTACTTGTTAAGTCCAGACTTTCTTATGCTTCAGTTTCTTAATCTGTGAAGTAGGGACTATAATAGTACCTATTCACAGCATAGTTGTTAGTACTAAAGTGAGTTCATATATGCAAAATACTTAGAATAGGGGCTAGTATATATTAAGTGAAACATTTTTCTGCAATGATGACAATGATGATGATGACAATGACAATGATGACCATTTTTCTTGAAGGCTTGGCTCTGGGCTCTGGGGATGCCTCTCCCTCCCTGTGTTCTACCTCTTTCTTTCTTTAAGCTATTACATTTTGTTCTGAAGCACTTGATTGGGTAGGGTTACTTTATATGACCTACATATATAATTTTCTGGACCATGGCTATTCCCAGGTTTGCTATGGAACACAGAAAATAAAGACCAGTTTTCCCAGGGAAGTCTAGGCCAACTGTGGTATAAACCTCAAATAAAACAAGCTTTCTACAGCCTCCAAGTTTCCTTAATCTCTGAAGCCAAGATAGAACTCTCATTTTTGAGCAGTGGTCACCATGCTACTTTGATAAAACAGCTGTAGCCAGACGCTCTGAACCAAAAAACAAAACACAATGAAAAAGACCTTCTCTTGGGACAGATACAATTGCAATGAGGATGAAAAGGCTATTGATTCAACTGTAGAAAACCTTAGCGTATCAGAAACATCCAGAATGATTATCCTTTTTCCAGATGTTCTGCATCTGTTATTTCATGCTTAAATTGTCTGGATAAAGGTTTAACCTCTTACATTTTAGCTGGATGCTTTGCCACCATGTAAGCATGACCAATACTTTGCTTGAGAAAAACAAGCAGGATACAGAGAAACAGGGACTTTCATTGTTTCATAGGTTTCAAAATATAGTCATGTGTAATTTAGTGACAGGAAAACATTCTGAGAAATGTGTCATTAGGCGATTTCATCATTGTGCAAATATAGAATGTAGTGGCACACAGATGGTATAGCCTATTGCTTTGAGGCTATATGGTATAGCTTATTGCTCTTAGGCTACAAACCTATAGAGCACGTTACTGTACTGAATACTGTAGGCAATTGTAAAACAATGTATTTGTGTATATAAACATATTCAAACATAGAAAAGGTACAACAGTGCATGCTGGTGTTGGCGATGGCTGTGGTGGGCTAGGAAAGCCAGTCTCCAGTCCTCCAGATGACACATGCAGATAGGTGCTGGTACCAGCACCTTGGGGGCTTGAGATTGAGCCTACCCACCCTGCTGCTACCACCAGTGCTTACCTCCTCCCCTAAAAACCAAAATAGCGAGTAGATAATCACACTTCAAATAGATCATCCAAAAGAGAACACTAGAATTCAACAGAAAAGTGACAGGATACACCTAATAGAAGGAAGAAGAAGGCATACCTAAAGCAAGCCTGTGAGTCGGAGACCATGAGTGAACTGGAAGATACTCCTCAATGCAAGGGAAGGGTAAATGAAAGACCCCCAGTGGTCTATATTCCCATTGTGAACTTCTGCAATCCTAGCCATGAGAGAGCCCCTTGAGCCTCATGGGTCTCAAAACTAACATACAGAGCTGCTGAGAGACTGTGCAATGGCATTGCTCCAGAGGGAAGCTCATGCTGGGTCCCACAGACTCCCTGAGAACTAAGCTGCTACACCAAGGCACCATTTTAGAGCCCTGCCACCAACAGATGGCCTACTGTCCTGGGTCCCAGTGGTGTCAGAGATGAGGCACAAGCAAAGTATGGGCTACTGCCACTGTGACTGAAATGCAAGCAAGGAATAGGTCACCACCTTTTTGGTCCTGAGGAGCAAGTGGTGTGCATGTTCCCACCCACCAACTTACAATACTTCCAGTGAAGACAGCCCCACCCTACCCAGTGGCAGGGCTACAGCACAACCACTACCATTTCTCACCTGTGTATCCTACCAAGGGTTTACGGATTACCTCACCCCTGCCTAGCATAGCTGGTAACTGCACACACCACCCAGAGGCCTGAGGAAAAGTTCACCCAGTCTAACCACCCCTTTCCTTATGCCAGAATATGCAGTCCAGGAACCAGTGGATTTCCCAGCCCATTCCATCACTGTTGGCACCTGAGCACTTATCTTTGGGGCTTGAGATTGAGCCTACCCACCCTGCTGCTACCACCACCTATCTGCATGTGCCACCTGGGGGACTGTAGACTGGCTTTCCTAAGCCCACCACAGCCACTGTCAACACAAGCATGCACTGTTCACTCCTGCTCCACAGGACTATCCTGCCCCTGACACTGCCATCACCCACACACCAACTGCCCAGGGACTCGAGACCCTGACCAGCTTCCCATCCCACTGCTGCTACTGTGGGCATCTGAATAAATCACCTGAAGGGCCAAGAAGTGAACCATGTGGATCTGCTAGCTCCAGTGCAGGTATACACCACCCTGGTGCTCAAGGATGTGTATACTCAGCCAATCACTGCCACCAGTGGGGCCTGCAGGCCAGTCCATCTGGCATTCAAGTCCCCCGCAAAACCTTACCACAGCCTCCAATAATAACCATATCGTAAGTCACTGAGGAAATAATAAATAACAATGATGCTGTTTATAGCCAGATAGTTCATACAGAGACAACTTTACTGCATGCACCCAGAATCAAAGCCAAAGTGCCCTACTCAAACAAAACTTTCAGGAAAAAGTCCTGCCCTACAAAAGCAAATTTTAAAAATGGGAGGAAGTGACTATTACATCAGATGTGCAGATATCAAGGTCAGAACACAGGGAAAATGAAAAAGCAAGGAAATATGACACCACTAAATGAATACAATAGTTCTCCAGAACAGATCTCAATCGAAAACAAATTTGTGAAATCTCAGAAAAACAATTTGAAATATTTATTTTAAAGAAGCTTGGTGAGATACAGGGGAATACTGAAAAACAACACAAAGAGATCAGAGAAAAACAATTTAGGATATGAATAAGAACTTTGTCAAAGAGACAAGCATCATTAAAAAAAAAAGAACCAAGCAGAGTTTCTAGAAGTGAAGATTTCATTGAACAAAATAGATTGAAAGTTTCAAAAATAGACTAGATCAAGCAGAAGAAATAATCTCAAGATGTAAAGACGCATCTTTTGAAATAACAAGAAAAAAATAAAGTAAAAAAGAATGAGCAAAGCATTCATGGACACCATAAAGTGACAAAATATTTGAGTTATCAGTATCCTGGAGAGAAAAGAGAAAATGAAAGGGATAGAAAACTGAATTACTCAAATAATAGAAAAATACTTCCCAAATCTAGCAAGAGATTTAGACATCAGATAGAGGAGGTTCAGAGATCTCCAAACAGATATAATGCAGAAAGGTCTTCTTCATGGTATATTATAGTCAAACTGTCTAAACTCAAAGACAAAGGAATTATTCTAAAAAAGACTAGATGCAAGAGTAAAGCATCAATGCCTTAAAAAACCCATCAGCCTAACAGCAGATTTATTAGCAGAAACCTTATAGGCCAGGAGATAATGGGATATATTCAAAGTTGAATATATTCAAAGATGGATATATTCAAAGTTGAATATATTCAAAGATGGATATATTCAAAGTTGAATATATTCAAAGATGGATATATTCAAAGTTGAATATATTCAAAGATGGATATATTCAAAGTTGAATATATTCAAAGATGGATATATTCAAAGTTGAATATATTCAAAGATGGATATATTCAAAGTTGAATATATTCAAAGATGGATATATTCAAAGATGAAAGAGAAAAAAATACTGCTAGCCAAGAATACTATAATCAGAAAAAGTATCCTTCATAAATGAGAGAGAAATAAAGCATTTCCCAGACAAGCAAAACTTGAGAAAATGCATGACCACTAGGTCAGCTTTGGCAGAAATGCTCAAGAGAATCCTAAATCTAAAAGAATGACATTTACCATCATGAAAACACAAAAGTATGAAATGCACTGGTAAAGCAAACACACAGATGAGAAAGAGAAAGAACTCAAATACCACCACTACAGTAAACCACCAAACCACAATGACAAACAATAAAAGAAAAAGAAAGAAACAAGGAACACATTAAACAAGCAACAAACAATTAACAATATGATAGAAACAAAATCTCATACATCAATAATAACCTTGAATATAAATAGATTAAATTCTCCACTTAAAAAGTATAGACTGGCGGAATACATTTAAAAAAATGATCCTTGAATACTGACCCTGTGCTAATTTTTTTTTTTAAAGATACAACTATATGCTGCCTTCAAGAAACTCACCTCACCTGTAAAGACACATATAAATTGAAAGTAAAGGGATGGAAAAAGACTTTCAACACAAATGGAAACCAAAAACTAGCAGGAGTAGCTCTGCTTATATCAGGTAAAACAGACTTTAAGGCAAAACAGTAAAAAATAGATGAAGATTGTCATTTTATAATGATAAAGAGATCAGTCTTCCAAGAGGATATAACAATTCAAAATATGTATGCACCAAACACAAGAGCACCTAGATATATAAAGCAAATATTACTAGATCTAAAGAAAGAGACTCTAATACAGTAATAGTTGGGTATTTCTACAGCCCACTCTCAGCATTAGACAAATCATTTAGACAAAAAAAGCAACAACAAAATATTAGACTTAAACTGGACTTTAGACGAAAGGGACCTAACAGACAACTACAGAACATTTTATCCAACAACTGCAGAATACACATTCTTCTCATGAACACATGGAATATTCTCCAGGATAGACCATATGTTAGGCCAAAAAAAGAAAAGAAGTCTAAACAAATTTTAAAAATATTGAAATCATATCAAGTATCTTCTCAGACCACAAGGGAATAAAACTAGAAGTTAACACCAAAATGCACTTTGGAAAGTACACAAATATATTAAAATTAAACAACATGTTCTTGAGTGACCATTGGGTTAATGAAAAAATTTATATGAAAATAAAAAAATTAAAACAAATAAAAATGGAAACAACATACCAAAACTTGTGAGACACAGCAAAACCACTGCTAAGAGGGAACATTACAGAAATAAATGCTGAATCAAGAAAGTAGAAAAATTTCAAATAAACTAGAAAAGCAAGAACAAACCAAACCCAAAATTAGCAGAAGGAAAGAAATAATAAAGATCAGAACAGAACTAAGTGAAATAGGGACTAAAAAAATTACAAAGAATCAATAAAATGAAAAGTTGGATCTTCAAAAAGATAAACAAAATTGATAAACCACTAGCTAGATCAACCAAGAAGAGAGAAGACCCATATAAACAAAATCAGAAATGAAAAAGCAGACATTGCAACTGGTACCATAGAAATACAAAAGACCACCAGAAACTATTATAAATAACTATACACTAACAAACTGGAAAATCTAGAGGAAACTGATAAATTCCTAAAAACATACAACCTACCAAGATTGAATCAGGAAGAAACAGAAAATTTGAACAGACCAATAGTGAGTAATGAGATTGAATCAGTAATAAAAAGTTTTCAAACAAAGAAGAGCCCAGGACTGGATGGATTCACAGTGTAATTCTATCAAATGTATAAAGAAGTACTAATATCAATCCTCCTTAAAATAAAACTACAGGCCAATACCGTAATGAACATACACACAAAATCCTTCAACAAAACACTAGCAAACCAAATCCAACATCACATCAAAAAGATAATACGTCATGATCAAGTGGGATTATACCAGGTACGCAAGGATGGCTCAACATATACAAATCAATAAATGTGACATATTATATCAACAGAATGAAGGACAAAAAGCATATGATCATCTCAATAGATACAGAAAAATCATTTGATAAAATTCAACATTCCTTCATGATAAAAACTATCACCAAATGAGGCATAAAAACAACATACATAAAAATAATAAAGGCCCTATATGATAAACCAACAGCAAACATCATCATGGGGAAAATCTGAAAGACTCTCCTTTTAAACTGAAACAAGACAAGGATGCACATTTTCACCACTCTTACTCAAGAAAGTACCGGATGTTGTAGCCAGTGCATCAGGCAAGATAAAGAAATAAAAGGCATTCACATTGGAAAGGAGAAAGTCAAATTGTCCCTCTTTACAAATGACACACTTTATATATAGAAAAACCAAAAGATTCCACAAAAAATTTTTTAGAAGTCATAAATTCAGTAAAATTGCTAGATACAAAATCAACATACAAAAGTCAGTAGCATTTCTATACAACAATAATGAAATCACTGAAAAAGAAATCAAGAGGGCAATCCCATTTACAATAGTGACACACACAAAAAAACCTAGGAATACATTTAACCAAGGTGAAAGATCTCTATAAGAAAAATTACAAAACACTGAAGAAAAAAACTGAAGAGGACACAACAAATGGAAAGGCATTTCATGCTAATAGAGTAGGAGAATATTGTTAAAATGACTATACTGCCCAAAGCAATCTGCAGATTCAATGAAATCCCTATGAAAATACTAATGTCATTTTTGTCAGAAATAAACAAAATAATCTTTCAAATGTTTATGAAATGAAAAAAAGAGCCAGAATTGCCAAAGCAATCCCAAGTAAAAAGTGCAAAGCTGAAATCATTACATTACCTGACTTCAAAATGTATTACAAGCCCACAGTAATCAAAACAGCATGGCACTGACACAAAAACAGACAAATTGGCCAATAGAAAAGAGTAGAAAACCAAGAAATAAATCGATATATTTATAGCCAACTGATCTTTGACAAAGCCATTAAGAACACACATTGGGGAAAGGACACCCTTTTTAATAAATGGTGCTAGGAAAACTGGTTAACCATATGCAGAAGAATGAAACTGCATTTCTATCTCTCACTGTGTACAAAAATCAACTCAAGATGATTTAAAGACTTAAACATAAGACTTGAAATTATAAAAGTACTAGAGGAAAATATAAGGCAAACTCTTTAGGACATTGGTCTAGGCAAGCAAAGATTTTATGAATAAGACCTCAAAAGCACAGGCTGCAAAAAAAAAAAAAATAGACAAATGGGACTATATTAAATTAAAGGCTTCTGCACAGCAAAAATAACCAATCAACAGAGTAAAGGGGCAACCTCTTGAAACGGAGAAAATATATGCAAATTACTCATTTGACAGGGGGCTAATATCCAGAATACACAAAGAAACAATTTAACGTTTTTTTTTTAAAAAAGGGCAAATAATCTTATTAAAAATTGGCAAAGGACATGAATAGATATTTCTCAAAAGAAGACATACAAATGGCCAACAGACATATGAAAAAATGCTCAACATCATTAATCATCAGGGAAATGCAAATCAAAACCACAATGAGATATCATCTCACCCTAGTGAGAATGGCTATTACTAGAGAGACAAAAAATAATAGACGTTGGTGAGGATGTGGAGTGACAAATTGTTATACACTGTTGGTGGGAATGTAAATTAGTACAACTATTATGAAAAACAGTTTGAAGATTTCTCAAAATACTAAAAACAATACTGTCACACTATCCAGCAATCCCACTACTGTGTATTTATCCAAAAGGAAATAAATCAATATATCAAAGGCACACATAAACGTCTATGTTTATTGCAGCACTACTTTTTTTTTTTTTAACTGTAAGTTCCAGGATGCATGTGCAGAATGTGCAGGTTTGTTACATAGGTATATATGTGCCATGGTGGTTTGCTGCACCTATCAGTCCATCACCTAGGTTTTAAGCCCTGCTTGCATTAGCTATTTGTCCTGATGCTCTCCCTCCCCTTTCCCCCCAAGCCCTGATAGGCCCCAGTGTGTGTTGTTCCCCTCCCCGTGTTCATGTGTTCTCATGGTTCAACTCCCACTTATGAGTGAGAACATGCAGTGTTTAGCTTTCTGTTCCTCTGTTAGTTTGCTGAAGATGATGGCTTCCAGCTTTATCCCTGTCCCTGCAAAAGATATGATTCATTCATTTTTATGGCATAGTGTCCTTTTATGCATAGCGTTCCACAGTGTTTATGTACCACATTTTCTTTATCCAGTCTATCATTGATGGACATTTGGGTTGGTTCCATGTCTTTGCTATTGTGAATAGTATTGCAGCACTATTAACAATAGCAAAGATATGAAATCAATCTAAGTGTCTATCAACAAATGAATGAATAAAGAAAATGTGAGATATATATAGACAATGAAATACTATTCAGCCACAAAAATTAAAATTATGTTATTTGCAACTACATGGGTGGAACTGGAGAGAGGTCATTATGTTAAGGGAAATAAGCCAGGCACAGAAAGAGAAATATTGCATGTTCTCACATATATGTTGGAACTAAAAACATTGCTCACATGGAGGTAGTGAGTGGAATGATGGATACCAGAGACTGGAAAGGGTGTATGAGTGGCAGTGGGGATGAAGAGAGGTTAGTTAATGGGTACAAATACACAGTTCAATAGAAGGAATAAGCTCTTCTTTGATAGATTAGTAAGGTTACTATAGTTAATGACAGTGTATTGTACATTTTAAAAAAACTAGAAGAGAGAGCTTGCAATATACCCAAAACATACAAATGATGCTCATGTGATAGATACCCTAAATGTCCTGACTTAATCATTATACATTCTATTCACGTGGCAAAATTTCACATGTACCCATAAATATGTACAAATACAATGGATCAAAAAAATTTTTTTTTAATTTATAAGTTTGGGGTACATGTGCAGGATGTGCAGGTTACATAGGTAAATGTGTGCCATGGTGGTTTGCTGCACCTATCAACCCATCGCCTAGGTATTAAGCCCAGCATGCATTACCTATATTTCCTAATGCTCTCCCTTCCCCTACCATAATCCCTGACAGGCCCCAGTGTGTGTTGTTCCCCTCCCTATGTCCATGTGTTCTCATTGTTAGGCTCCCACTAAAAAGTGAGAACACGTGGTGCTTGGTTTTCTGTTCCTGTGTTAGTTTGCTGAGGATATGGCTTCCATCTTCAACCATGTCCCTGCAAAGAACATGACCTCATTCCTTTTTATGGCTGCATAGTAATCCATGGTATATATGTATTGCATTTTCTTTATCCAGTCTGTTGTTGATAGGTATTTGGGTTGATTACATGTCTTTGCTATTGTGAATAGTGCTGCAATGAACATATGTGTGCATGTATCTTTGTAATAGAATGATTTATATTCCTTTGGGTATATACCCAGTAATGGGACTGCTGGGTCAAATGGTATTTCTGGTTCTAGATCTTTGAGGAATTGCCACACCATCTTCCACAATGGTTGAACTAATTTACATTCTCACCAAAAGTGTAAATTTTTAACAATATTTAAAAAATGACACACCCATATAGAGCACTTACAATGAATGGAGTTTGCAGGGTTCTAATAAAAGTTGCTCTGGTAAGTCAGTGAATGACTGGTGGGTGAGTGTGAAGGCCTAGGACATGAATATAGTAGATTTTTTAAACACTGTCCACTTAGACTACACTAAATTTTTTTTAAAAAATATTTCTTAAATAATAAACATGTATACATATGTAACTAACCTGCACATTGTGCACATGTACCCTAAAACTTAAAGTATAATAATAATAAATAAATTAAAGAAAAAAATAATAAACTAACCTTAGCTTATTATAACTTTTTTACTTTATAAACTTTTTAATTTTTTAAAACTTTCTGACTGTTTAGTAATAACACTTAGCTTAAAATACAAACTCATCATACAGCACTACAAAAATATTTTTATATCCTTATTCCATAAGCTTTTTCTTATTTCATTTGTTTGTTTACTTTTTTGTTGTTGTTGTTAAAAACTAAGACATAAATACACACATTATACTAGACCTACATAGTGTCAGGGTCATCAAGATGTCACCCGGCAGTAAGAATTTTTCAACTCTATTATAATGTTATGGCACTATCACCATACTGAAGCCATCCTCACAAGGTTAACAGAAATTTTTGGACAGAAATGTCGTTATAATTAAGCATTAATTAGGTTGCATTTTGATTCACTTCCTAATAACAGAAAGTCATGTAACACTAGATACTGACCATCTGCATCCCTACTGTTCCTATAGATAGGATTTCTGATGTTATAATCACAAGGCTTTTATTTTAAATAGGACCACTGATGTTAGAATCATAAAGCTTTTGTTTAAAAATCATTTAAGCAGATCGTGAATTCCAGCAGAACAGCTGACATCAACCAGTTTAAAGACTCTCACAGAAGAACTGAATCAGCATGAGAATACAGTTTCTTCAACTCCCTGTCCCATGACTTCAAATTGCACTCTTTGAACAATCAATAATCTCTACACTCTGGCCCACTCCAAAACCCATAAAAACTCTAGCCCCACACTTCTCAGGGAGAAGGATTTGTGGTTTCCTTCCGTCTCCTCATTCAGCAGCCTTACAATCAAACCTCTTCCTCAGCTTCATCCTAGTGTCTTGGTGTACTGACTTCCCATGTGCATCAGGCAACAAACCTATTACGGTTATAGTATATGCAGTCTGTTGTTGACAGAAACTTTGTTACGCAGCACATGACTGTATTTGAGCCAAGCTACCATAAATTGGCATTAAGATGCAGTCAGAACCAGTATTTAATCGACAGCAAGTAGGGGTTGAAGGTGGATTTTGAAAATTCAAAGGGAAAATATGTTTTCAGCAAAAATACTTGAAAGTGTCTGAATTTATGTATTAATTGAGCCAATTACTACAAAACATCATTTGGAAATGGAAACAAAACCAATGATATTTTAACAGCTAAATACCCTCAGTACAAAGAAGCACTAGTGGTAGCTACTAATTATACATTTGGTTTGTTCCAAGAGTTTCTTTTTTTTAATCAAATATCTGGACTTAGAATTCTCTACACTCCTCCTCTAATTGAAAGAACTGACCAGAATACAAAGACCAACATACACTGCTAGTACCGCCATCAAGGCAAAATGTAGTCATCATTTCAATGGAGAATAATAGGCACTTATCTCTTTTCTTCCTTCTACCTCCTGGGCAGCGGGGAGGGATCCAACTGGCTTCGGGCCACTAAGGCAGGTTCTGCTGACTGTAATGTGAGTATTATTTACCAGATAGGAGATATAGAGGGAGAACAGAAAGTTGGGACATGGGAATGAGAGACAGGGTGATGGTCTGTGGAGGCTGGAGCTCCCAGGCAGAGCAAGACAATTGAGAAATGTCATCAACTTTCCTTTTCCTCTCACCTAGCTGCTACTGAGAGCCCACAGCTCCCAGGCAAACAGGACAAGGGCAGACGTTTTCCCTCGTTTTATATGTAGCTACATCATATATTCAATTTTACCTCTTAGCCCACAAAGTCTCAAATATTAACTATCTGGCTTTTACAGAAAAGGTTTGCCAGCCCTGTTCTGGATTGGACTTACTAAGGACGGTAAAAAATTAACTACCTCTCTGCCCATGCATAGCTGCAAATAAAGAAAAGTTGTTTAAGTATCCACACCAAATTAGTGAAGCAGAAACTCCTTCCATTAAAGCCTCTCAGTGAGAGTCTACTAATTCGATATGCACATTTAAAGACCATTTTTACCACATAGGATGCCGGTGGCAAAATTGGTTTCAGATCGCTTTCAGGATTACTGGGCTTTTCATCAGCAGACACAAAGGAAAACACCACACACACTAGGGTTCTCTTCAGAGGGCTGTAATACTCCACCCTCCCAGGGTAATCTGGGCCTATTCAATTACAGCAAGGCAGTGCAACAACACCCAAGAAAATTAGCAATCAGCAGATTAGCTTGGGTAGCCTACCACTTCCTACCAATTTGCAGTTAAGCTACTATGTTTTAGTCACAACCACTCTCTTTAGATTGCTCCCTTCTGAATATAGGATCTCATTCCAGGAACAATTGTTTCCCTAGGAACACAAGCAGAAAGAACCTACTTAGATTCACTCATTTAAGAAATGATGATAGAAGACGCGCTTTACCAAAATAAAACATCTCCCTCTAGCTTGTTGCTAGACTATTTTTTTTAAGTAAAATACTAAACAGGCATACTTTGATTTGCATTCTAAATTCTAAATGAGTATTTTAAATATTCTCTTTTATCCAGATGACTCCCCTAGCCTCTGATTTACCCCTTTTGGTGAGGAACGAAAAGATGCCATTAATTCTTTACTGGATATGACATGTATAATTACTCTGTCTTCAATTGGAAGCTTCACTACTGTGTTGGTCAGAATAAAATGAAGTGAAATAAACCACATACATACTTCTCATTTATTTCTATAGCAAAGGAAAACACCTAAAAACAGTGATGGCTGCATAACAGAACTCTCAGAACAGCAACTTCTTCAGGCCTCAGAAAGAGTTACCAGTTTGATTACCAGGTTTACAGTAATGAAAGATCCTTGAAATCCATAGGTTGTCTTTATGTAGTTGCTAGTTACCCAATTAGTCTGGAGAGACAGAGGGAAACAGTTTTGAAAATACTTTAAAAATGAGAAGAAAGGAACAGATGTGAGAAATACTGAATAAATCCAGTAATAAATTAACCTACCATTTATTGAAAATTTACTATTGAGCTAGGTTTAGCCATAGGAAATTATAATATAAAAATAAACCAACAATGTCATCAATAATTACATGTAATTAAAAAAATGATAAATTTTTTTAAAGTTCTTACTATTTACCAGGTGTCGTGTTAGCTAGTCCCAGATGCGTTAGCCATGTAGTCTTTAGAACAACCTATGAAACAGGTATTATTCACATTTTAAAGATGAGTAAACAGGGGTACTAGATATGAAGTAACTTATTTGTCCAGGATAAAAAACTGGCAAGTAAATGAGCATTGCATTGCACTCAGGTCCTCTAACATTAAGACCAAGTATTTTAGTCCTATACTCTATTGGCTCCCCCAAAATTGTTTCCCCGCTTTTTTATTTATCATAAGTCAATGAAGGAAACGATGAAAAGATGGGATTTGGTGAAAGATGATAAAACACACTTTAAATGTTTACCAAAGGCCGGCTCTATTGTCATTCTACTTTCTAAAGCACTTTGCAGGATGGTATTAGATGGAATGGTTACACTCTCTTGTACCCAGAGCAGTATATGTTACATTCCTTGGAATGGGAGGAAATCTGAGAATGAGTAAAGTATTATGTTTGTTTCTCTGCCTCCTATTCAGTGTATATACTCTTGTAAATTTAGCGAAGGGCTCAGCAAGCACATATGTCTGTTTCCCAGGATAAGGCAGAAAGCAACCACCTTTGCAATGTAAGGTGTGTAACAGTGATACGAGAGTGGGGCAGGGAAGTGCTAGGTAGAGAAGGGCAGGGAGCCCTAATGAGGGCCCCACCCTCGGGCCTGTGCCTACGGACCTAAGTGAGAACAGGAACTCCTGTTTTCATGCCCAAATGTTGCATTTTCCAAGACTACTCTGGTCCACCATGCCCCCCCATCCTGTGCCCATATAAACCTGAGATCTTAAGAGGACACAGACACAAGCAGCTGGATGTTGAGAGGAGCAGAGGAGCAGACCTGCGGACACCAACAGACACCACCAGACCAGTGATGGCAGAACAACGCAGATGCCGAGGGGAGTATAGCCTTGGGCGGCCCGACTCCAGGGGAGGACCACCTTCCCATTCCATCCCCTCTTCTGGCTCCCAATCCATCTCACTGAGAGCCACCTCCACTACTCAATCAAACCTTGCTCTCAACCTTCCAGCCCATATGTGGTCTGATTCTTCCAGTACATTGGGCAAGAACTCAGGCTGTCACAATGGCCCCCTGTCCTTGCAATAAGGCAGAGGGTCTATTGAGCTGACTAACACAGGCATCTGCAGATGGCATAGCTGAAAGAGCGCACTGTAACACACGCCCACTTGGGCTTTGGGAGTCCTGGACACTGCCATGGGCCAGATCCCAAAAGCACTCCCCAAGGCCTCTGCACCTGCCTGTCTGCATGCTCCCCCTAGGGTTTTGAGCAGTGGGCACCGAAGAAGTGAGCCACACCCCTGTCACATGCCTTGTGATTGGAATAAAGAAACTCTCCCGTATCAGCAAAACAAATGCTCTTTTCTGTGAAATCGTTTTGGATAAGGTTCTCCTCACACAGCATTAAGAAAAATTTACATTGCATCCACTTTCCTTTTTAGATTTTGATCTGTGTGGCGAGAGCCCATGATGTGGTTGTGAATCAGATATGGTTTGGGCCTTTAAAGAGCTCATGATCTAATGGGGGAAGAAAGAATACATAGATAATTATTAGTTATTTATTGTAATACATGGGATGAAACAACATTTTAGAAGGTTAAAAAACAACTTTTATAAACGCCATCTTAAATGGTTCAAAAAATGAGGCAAAACAACAATCATTCTTCCCTCTGTATGAAAGAATCAGAGCAAGTTTCAGATAGGAGTAATGAGTTCCTAGTTTAAAAACTAGGAACTTGAAAGGGAATCATTCCAGGCTGAGAGAACCACAGCTCTTTTAAAGGCTTGGAATACCTTGAGAATATAAATAAATTTAGCATTCATGGGAAATAATGTTTAAGAGACTGGTGTGGTAAGGAAGAGGGTGGTTAAGAAGGCTGAAAAAAAAAAAAAAGGCAGGGACCAGATCTTCATTAATCCTGTACAGATATGATGACTCTCATTTCACAGATATAAAATAAAATAAAATATATAAAGTCTTATAAGGACACAGAAGTGGGGTAAACACCTAGACCTTGGGATTCCGGATGGAGTGTTCTTTCCACTGCACCATCCCAGCGTGACAGCCTTGCTAGTAATTGAAGATAGCTCTCTTGAAGACAATAGAGGAGTAGAGGTATGCACAAACTTCATGTCACCTCCTCCAAGAGGCCTTCTCTGATCTCAACCCCTTCTCCTAAAGTCACTCTATGTCATCACCTTACCTGGTCACAGTCTGAAATTAACTGCAATATGCATTTACTAGTGTATTATTTGTCTTCCTGTGCTAAATCATAAGCTGCATGAAGCCTTTCTCTACTTGTTCATGGTTGTACCCCAAGATCTCCAGTATCCTAAGAACCAGTGAGATACATAATAGGCACTCACATAATTGCTGAACAAATGAATCCAAAAGACACCAACCAGGCTTTCAGGCAGAGCTGTCTGACCTTGAACAAAACCCTTTTTATCTTATTAGCAAATGGATAGAGGTAAAGTGATTTATGGCTTTGGAATTGAACTCCAGGAAAGGGATAGCGCTTTCCCTATCCTCTTCACCTACATTCCTTCTTCCTTGGTTCTTCAATTTGACTTCGTGTTTGAACTTTGGGGTTCACTTAGCTTGAGTAAAGAACTCACCAGACAAAAAGATTGAAAATAACTAAACTAGTTGATTTGAAAGTCCCGGCCATCTCCAAAATTTCATGTTTCTAGTGTGCCTTATAGTCTAATGATTAAAAATTTGAGGCTGGATGCTGTGGCTCATGCCTGAAATACCAGCACTTTGGGAGGCCAAGGTGGGCAGAGCACTTGAGGTCAGGAGGTCGAGACCAGCCTGGCCAACATGGTGAAACCCCGTCTCTACTAAAAATACAAAAATTAGCCAGGCATGGTGGTCTGCACTTGTAATCCTAGCTACACAGGAGGTTGAGGCAGGAGAATTGCTTGAACCAGAGAGGCAGAGGTTGCAGTGAGCCCAGATTGCGCCACTGTACTCCAGCCTAGGCAACAGAGTGAGACTCCATCTCAGAAAAAATAAACTTGAATTATTTCATCCAAAAGTTAAAGGCAGCCCATAAAATTTTTTGGGGGGAGGGGGTACAAGAAGACTCACATTAAAAACATTATACCTAGGAAAAAGAATACATATGATTATAAATATAATCTAATAAATTTTTAACCCATGTCACCAGTTGGAAAATTAATATATATATGAATATATACACACACACACACACACACACACACACACACACACACACACACACACATATATATTAATCAAAGCCAGCCAGGCGCAGTGGCTCATGTCTCCAATCCTAGCACTTTGAGAGGCCGAGCTGGGAGGATCACTTGAGCCCAGGAGTTTGAGACCAGCCTGGGCAACATAGGTAGACCCTGTCTTTACAAAAAATAAATTAAAAAAATCAGCCAGGCATGGTTCCAGCTACTCACGAGGCTGACGCAGGAGGTCAAGGCTGCAGTGAGTCGCTATCATCCACTACATTCCAGCCTGGGTGACAGAGTGAGATCCCATCTCAATAAATAAGGAAAGAGAAAAAAAGAAAAAAAACCCAAAGTGACACAGGATAAAACAGAATGAACAGTTGAACAGTTCACAATGTCTACAAGTAAACATAAGGTTATGGTAAATAACTCAAATAATTTCTGATTCATATATTTTAGTACCAAGCATTAGCCTATGTTGTCTAGTGTTCGATATAAACAAAACTCCTTGAAGTAGCAATAGTTCCATTTACCAGTTTAGACACAAATGACATGATCGTAGAAACCTAGGGTTGTTCAAATCTCAAGTATATTCTAATATTTGTGTTGAGCGAACCCCTCGGGCTAATGTAGAATGATGTCTTACTGTGGAACTCTAACAAGGATTCCAAAATCACCTTATATTTTAAACTCTCCAAGTGAAATGTGTTGAATGTAATTCCAATTTACAAGGGCCGAAGAGACATGAGACATGAAATGCCAGACATTTTGTTGCATTACTGAAGAGAGGTTAAAAAAATCTGTGACAAATGATGGGAGCTGGTTAAAATTTTTTGTAATATGAAGAGCTGTCAGCATCAAACATTTTAATTCACAGACCAGATTATCATCTATAACCTGATTTTGGAATCCACTCAAGTTATAACATGCTTCCCTTATTTCTCTGATTTCCAGATCAGATTAGATCACCCAAACCTCTGCATTTCAGGCAAAATGGCTCAGCTTACAAAAAAAAAAAAAAAAAAAAAAAAAAAAAAAAAAAAAAAAAAAAAAAATTCAATCTGCCACTTTATTTCTAAAATAATGGTGATAAAAAATGACACATGGTTAAAAAGAAAACAGAAACCTCCTTTACTGAGCAGGCTAAAAGGGTCACATGCTCACTTTGATTTGGCTTTTTTCAAATGAGAAAAGGCAGGAAAGGGATATGGAAGCAGCAATGTGATCAGGGATCTGGACACATCAATGATGTTCTGGCAACATACCCTGCCGGGTGGAACCAAAACAATGTCAGGCATTTATGTGCTCCTCCTTGTTTACAGACGCAATTCTTCACACAGCAAGAGAAACAACACACATAGAAAGAATAACAATCTTTTACATTATTTCCCTTCACTTCAAATTGTTAGCCACTCCTCCCTTCGCCTTTCTAAAATATTCATGTACGGTTTTATTTTTCAAACTATTCCTTGACAATAATATTTACTTAGTCTTGGACTCAATCACAAAGGAGATTCATTCATTCATTCAATAAATATATGGGGAGTAGCTAATCTGTCCCAAACATTCCCTTCCCCAAGAAGTTGGGAATACAACTGTGAACAAGTAACACTAAAGTAGTTCAGAATGCCTACTTTATTCTCAAATTAATTATAATGAAATAAAATAACATTAGATTATAATAAAATAGCAAAAAATATCTGAAAATCTGCATCTTTCCAGTTGCTTTCCCTCCTTCTTTCCTCTCTCCCTCCCTCCCTTCTTCTTTTCCCCCTCCCCCTGCTGTCTTCCTCCTCCCTTTCTCTCCTTCTTCCTCCTTCTTCATCTTCATCTTCTCTTCCTCTCTCTCTCTCTCAAAAATGAACTAAGAAAAACTTTTCCTAATCATTTAAGTATTCCTAAGACTTAACAAAGGGCCCTCAAACTAGTAAGTGAACAATAAATAAGAAACTTTGTTGTATGACTAAATTTGATTGAGATCTAAAGCTTGATATGTCTAATATGGTAGCCACTAGTCACATGTGGCTGATAAGCAGTTGAAATGTGGCTCAGCTGAAGTGAGGTGTGCTGTAAGTGTAAAGTACCTACTGAATTTCCAAGATTTAATAGAAAAAAAGTTTTAAAATGTCATTCATAATTTAAAAATATTTATTACAGATTGAAATGATAATATTTGGGATATATTGGGTGAGATAGCACGTTATTAAAATTAATTTTACCTGCTTCTTTTTACTTTTTAACTTAGCTACTAGAAAATTTTAAATTTTCTATGTGGCTGTATTTTATTTCTATTGGATAGCACTCCTCTAGAAAGATTTGTGGTTAGCAGATGCTCATATTGCTAATTGTGACAGAGTTAATAATAGAAGAAAAGTATCCCAACTTCCAGCTTTATGGCTTCTCAAAATTTGAATGAGATTCTTAGCCATGGGAATTTTGTTATTACCTTTGATATGAAGAAGGCCATAATCAGTAGTGTTAGAAAGTAGAGTCCACCTATAATAATGAGCATATTAAGACACACATGCTTCCACATTTTTAGAGTTCAAATGACCATCTAAGGCAGAGGTATAAATACTTGGAAACAGGAAGAGATTAAAACACAAAGGACAAGAGAAGTAAATCATGAAACAAAGAAGGGGAGCTGTCATTAAACAGTTACATAATTCGAAGAAGGAGAAAAACAGCTCAAATCTGAGTTCATCTAACATTATGAAAATCAGTTTAAAAATAATAGTATCACCAAAATAAATCAACTGTTATCTTTCTTCTGGTGATTTTAGACTTCAGTTTTTACTATAGTCTAGTCTTCTATAAGGCATGCAAGTAGAAGCACACAAATATGCATGCATGTACACATATATATTTTGAAAGCAAATTTACAAGGGGAAAAAGCTTGCTGAAAATAAAACAGCATTTTGTAGTCATAGCAACCCCAACTTTTTAAAAAGCAGCATTAAGGCAAGAAGAGCTCATCAAGAGCTACATCAAGTTGTTATAGCAACCAAAATATGGCTTTACAGAAACAAGTTTGCATTAAAATAGCCGGAAGGTTATAATGGTAAAAGACTAATATAAAAATATATCTTTGGAGCCCCAAGTCTTAATTTTTCCTGGTTTTAATCAGGACTGGTATTCTGTTCCATTAGAACAAAACATTTTCTCAGAGAATCCTTCTAAAAAACACACAGATGCAGTGGAAACCAAGAAAGATACAGTGTTGTAATATCTGATAATAATTATTAAGGCCAAAATTAAATCAATACTAATAATTTGATTCTTTGTGAATGATGAAATATATTAAATTAGAAGAAAAGTAAAAAGTAGTCAAATGGGATTTGGATTCTTACAAAGTCTGGAAACACTTTGGAAGAATAGGTCTAGAACAGTGTTTCTTATGTTTGGCACTATAGTATTGCCATTTTGGATTAGTCAATTCTTTGTTGTAAGGGCCTGTCCTGTGTATCGTGGGATGTTTAGTAGTGCCTCTGGCCACTACCCACTAGACATGAGTAACACCCAACCCCAGGTATGACAATAAAAAATGTCTCCAGACATTGCTAAATGTTTCCTGGGGGAGAAGAGGGTAACCAAATCCAAATCATCCCCTGGTTGACACTCTTGTTTCATCCATACTATCCTGAAACTCATACAAATTCAACAAATGTGGAGAAACAGGCTAAACCATCCAAAGTCTGTCAAATTTTCAGACCTCTGTTTTATCCAGCTTATCATCTCAGATAAACATTTCATACTTTATTTCAGCTCTAAACAACTCTGGCACATGGTGTTGTTTGTCTTCTAGAAACCCTCTTCCTCTTCCTGTTTCAGTAGCACACTCACAGGTGCCCACATGCTCCCCTACACATGCAAAACGGGAAACATGACAGCCATCCTATTCCTTCTCTTCTCACCCCTTTTATTTTTAAATTGTTTCCCATTCACTCTAAGATTTTATTTGGAAAAAAAACTATACCATCTCAATATCTACCTCTCCTTTTAGTCAACTGCCACATTTTTTCTCAATCAATCTTTGTTTATTCACTTGAATATCATTTACGTTCTACTGAGCATTTAATGCTCCACTTAGATTAAACATCATATAGCCTGGGACCACTGAATATTTTACTAAAACCCAATCAGTTAAAACAAAATAAGAACACATGTGTTCAACTTCTATCGAGTGACTAATCTATTATAATATTAAAAGTCTTGGGCAGGCTAGGCACGGTGGCTGACGCCTATAATTCCAGCACTCTAGGAGGCCAAGGCAGATGGATCACTTGACCAGCCTAGCCAACATGGCAAAATGCTATCTCTACTAAAAATACAAAAATTAACCAGGTATGGTGGCACGCACCTGTAGTCCTAGCTACTTGGGAGGCTAAGGCAGGAGAATCTCTTGAACTTGGGAGGCGGAGGTTGCAGTGGGCTGATATCATAACATTGCACTGCAGCCTGGGTGATAGAGCAAGACTCTCTCTCAAAGGAAAAAAATAAAGGCTTGGGCAACATGATAAAAAAGTTAAAAGAATGAAGATGCAGTTCCCTGACAATGGCAGTTTTCAGTAGTCTTTAGATGCTAGTAGATGGAAACTCCAAAGGGTAAGCTCTTTGAGAGCATGGAGTATTTTTGTATCCTTGGAGGCTACCATGCTATCTGACCCCAAATAGACAATTGATGACCAATGCTAGCTCCTCTAAAGTAAGGCCTATGCAGCTACTTAGTTTTTTTAGATTTATAGCAGTTCAAGTTATTATCATTAGCACAACATGTGGCTATTAAGGTTTTAGGGATATATCTCCTTCTAGAGTTTTTTTAAAATCAACTTTATCTTACTGTTTCTCTAACTTATATTTAAATAATTGTACATAGCAATTTTTGGAGGAATCTGGTTTTTAAGAATTGCTATTATGTTTCTCACAGGTTTTCTATAAAATCTCATTCTTTTGAGGAATGTCAGAGTGATTCATTGTGCTTATATAAGTAATATACGTATTTTTTCCATTTTGTTTTCCAGTACAATTCTCACACTTCTATTACTTTCTGGAAGGTCACACATACCTTCTCGTGCATCCAATATTGATTTTCTTGCCACAGGACCCTGAGAGAGTTGGCAATAATCTGTATGGAAGCTTCTGAAGTGTAAATAGTGATTTTTGGTCAATCTTTTTCACTGGAAAAACTGACAAATGAGCAACCCGCTAACCAGAAGCTTCATTCAATGTGATTTAAAAATTGATTTATGAAGGAATATGAGATATGCCAAGAGATATCAGAATATAGTACTCTAAATATTCCATCTGTTAGTTGAAACAGATCATTCCCTCACATTGCAAATACCATTCTCAATAGCTCTTAAATAAATGGGTTATTGAGAACTAGAGTAGCCACATACAGTTGTCAGGGGTAATGTTAGAGTCTCATGTGATTGGTAAGTGTGTGTGATTAAACTGAGACAGCATACAAACATTCTCTAACTTCTGGACAGATGACCAATGTTTTACCAACAATGAATTAAAGGGAATTCTTTTAAAAAGAGTATGTAGCATTAAATACTTTTGATTTTATTACCGATGAAATTACAGGTTTAAAAAAAAAACAAACTCTAGAAGGTTAGTTTAGTTTTCTAGCCAAAAAGAAAACATATACCAACTAGAATAAGAATGAATTTGAAAGGAAATTGAAAAAATATACTTTTCCTAACCCTAGATAAGTCCCTTTAAAGTAGGCTGATTCATGTGAAGCTTGTTACAGGGACGATAAATGCTCTTTCTGCCACCAGAGAAAGTAAGTAATCAGTCCAATTGTATAAGCAGTCACTTTTTTTCATACATTATACACACCAAACAGAGAGATTACTTGCTAGTGCCTGGTGTTGCTGTTGGAACAGCACTGGCCACTGTTAGCCATTATTTCAGCTTGAATAGGCCTTTACAGTCTCCTCCAGAGAAGGGCATTTGAGAAGCAATTTAAAAAAATAACTGGTAGTGTTTACTTTTATTTTATCCTTCCCCTAGCTTTCAAATCATCGCATTGATTATTTCTTTAAAGGGTATTTCCAACTTAGAAAACGAAGAGATAACGCTGTTCCAAAAAGCCAAGTGGGAGACAAAAATATACTACGCTGGACAACATCTCAAATACCTTAAAAATACCCCATAAACCTACTGAGAAATAAATATTTGGATACATTTTAAGTAAACAAAGGCAGGACTGAGCTGTTTGAGGAAGAGGAAAAAAAGGGAGGCAGAATTTAACATCTTTCTTTGCTTCTTCCATTCTATTGGAAGGCCATCAAGCTAACTTAATTTAAAATTATGACTCTGGAATTTTCTTCCATTTCAGGTTACTCTTCATGGAAAATGGGTTTCAATGGACTGTAATAAATGAAGTGTGTCCCTTAGGAAGAAGATAAGATATTGAGAAGAAGGTGATACCATAGGCAAAACTTTCCAGGTTCACTGAAAATTGTGCTCATTTAATTTTACAACCATTCACGCAACAATTATTTTTTGACTACCAACCTCATGTCAGATGTGCTTTGTACTGGGAATAAAATATTCAGCAAAAAGATACATAGTTCTGGTTTTTGAAGATCTTATAATTTAGCAAAGGGGCAGAAATCAGTTAAATAATCACATAAGGGCCAGGCGAGGTGACTCACGCCTGTAATCCCAGCACTTTGGGAGGCCGAGGCAGGTGGATCATGAGGTCAGGAGTTTGGGACCAGCCTGACCAAAATAGTGAAACCCCATCTCTACTAAAAATACAAAAATTAGCCGGGCATGGTGGCAGGCGCCTGTAAGCCCAGCTACACAGGAGTCTGAGGCAGGAGAATCGCTTGAATCCGGCAGAGGTTGCAGTGAGCCAAGATCCTGCCACTGCACTCCAGCCTGGGTGACAGAGTGAGGCTCCATTCCAAAAAACAAAACAAAACAAAACAAAAATTACATAAGTACTAATGGTAAAAGTATGTATTACCATGAGATAGGTGAATAGGTGAATCTGACCTGGTCTGGGAGGTCAGAAAAGGTTTACCTGGAGGAGTGATGATTCAACTAAAATCAAACTTAGGTAAGAGGATCCAGATTCATTATGGAAAAAAGCTTGCCAGATTTATTTATTTATTTATTTATTTATTTATTGGCAGAGTCTCACTCTGTCACCCAGGCTGGACTGCAGTGGCACAATCTCAGCTCACTGCAACCTTTACTTCCCAGGTTCAAGCGATTCTCCTGCCTCAGCCTCTCAAGTAGCTACTATTACAGGCATGCACCAACATGTTCAACTAATTTTTATTATTTTTAATAGAAACAGGATTTTACCATGTTGGCCAGGCTGGTCTTGAACTCCTGACCTCAAGTGATCTGCCTGCCTTGACCTCCCAAAGTTCTGGGATTACAGGCATGAGCCACCACCACACCTGACCTATTTTTATCTGTTTATTTTTTGAAACAAGGTCTTTCCCTCTTGCCCAGGTCACTGCAGTCTCAACCTCCTGGGCTCAAGAGATCCTTCCACCTCAGCCTCCTGAGTAGCTGGGACTACAGGCATGCTCTACTACCTCCAGCTAAGCTTTACCATTTTTTGTAGAGATGGGATCTCACTATGTTGCCTAGACTGGTCTTGAGCTGCTGGACCCAAGCAATCTTTCTGCCTTGGCTTTCCAAAATGCTGGGGTTACAGGCTTGAGCCACCGCACTTGGCACAGAGTTAATTTATATCACCAATGGGATCCACAGGATTCCATTATCATACATCCAGGAGCACTGACTCATTTCATAACTCTAAATCATTTAAAAACTGAAAGACCCTTAATATAAGATCACTTAACATTTATTTTTTTTCTAATCCAAATTTTATAATTCCCCAGCCTATGCCTTTTTGGTTGAGTACAGCAAGAGACCAAGGCAGTCCTGTAGTTACTAAAGTCTAAGACAAACAATGTTTGCTAATTCAAGTGATCAAATAATGCCCCATTTTATGTGCTAAAGAAAGCCATCTGAGTGGTTCCAGTAGCACAGCACACCACATCCCCCAGGCCACTGTGATATAGAAATGACTGAGTGATAATCTGCAAAACTGGATTGATGATTTAAGAGTTTGTGTTAGGCTAAAGGAAAAGAGTTTATTTAGTGAAATTTGAGGAAACATATCAAAAGTTTATTTAGTGAAATTTGAGGAACCTTATCAACATATCACAGATACACATGCAGAGATTGATGTAAATGGAGTGCTCACACATGATGTTCCTTGTAATTTTGCACATTGCACTAAACTATGCAGTGGTAATATGAGACAACATATTGAATATAACATTTATTGTGATGTAATATCAACAAACCATTTATTATGTATATTCAACTGTTTCTAGACTTTATGGCTACCTGCAGAACATGATCAAATGTCTTAGGCTTTACAGGTATTTAGTGATGAAACTGCCTTGGCCGGGCATGGTGGCTCAATTCTGTAATCCCAGTGCTTTTAGAGGCCGAGGTGGGAAGATGAATTGTGGCCAGGAGTTCAAGATCAGCCTGAGCAATATACAAGACCCCATCTCTACAAAATTAAAAATTAAAAAATTAGATGGGCATGTTGGCATACACCTCTAGTCCTACCTCCTTGGGAGGCTGACAGGGAAGATGACTTGAGCCCAGGAGTTTGAGACTGCAGTGAGCTATGATTACACTACTGTCTCACAGCCTAGCCAACAGAGTAAGACCCTAATTCTTAAAAAAAAATGGGGGGTACAGGCACGGTGGCCCACACCTGTAATCACAACACTTTGGGAGGCCAAGGGCGGGTAGATTACCTGAGGTCAGGAGTTCAAGATCAGCCTGGTCAACATGGTGAAACTCCATCTCTACTAAAAATACAAAAATTAGTTGGGTGTGGTAGTGGATGCCTGTAATCCCAGCTACTCTGGAGGATGAGGCAGGAGAATCACTTGAACCTGGGAGGCAGAGGTTGCAGTGAGCCAAGATCACATCATTGCCCTCCAGCCTGGGTGACAGACCGAGACTCCGTCTTAAAAAAAAAAAGGAACTGCCTTCCTTTTGGTGCCATACTTTTCTAGTAACACACAATACCACTCTAATTTACCTTGTCTAACCTAAATTTAAATAAATTGGTAGACTCTGATGCCTTTACCATGTTGAGTGGTATTTTTCAAAGATGGCTCCCTGACCACCTGCGTTTGAATAATTTGAGATGTTTGTTAAAAATGGAGATGTCAGAGCCCTCTTCCAAATCTATTCAATCAGCAGTTTGAGAGCCTACACTCAACAGGCATGCACTCAACACTAATTAGTTTCATAATCAGTAATGGCCATGATGGACAGGAGGCTAAGGTAAACCAGTTGCTGGAACTGGTAAAGTCTAATAAGAAAGCGAATATTTAATAACCAACAATCAGTTAGTAATTGGAACTGAAAACTAGGTCTAGTTTTTTGTTTTTTGTTTTTCTCAGTATAGGGTATTACCCTCTTAAAGGAAATCAGCATTTCTCTTGAAGACAATATAATTTGTATATGAGAAATGTATTTTCAATAAGCTTCAAAGTACTGTATACAGGGCACTTTAGTGATACTGCAAAAGCAAAATAGAATAAACTAATTTAGAAGAGACCTCCAAATGGAACTATGGCATTCTTTTACTTAAGTTATTCTTACACTCCATTAAGCTAAAACAATTATTTTCTGAAAAGCAAAAGTACAAAACGCTAATCTGATGTGCATAATGTTGATATCAAAACCTGTCTTTTAAATTGATAGTGATGACTTAAAATTAAACTCAGAAATGATTAAATGAGGAACAAAGCCATCACAGTTTAGAACAAAAAGAACTGCTCCCCTTTCAAGAAGCTGTATGCAAAACTGGAGGTCCTATTTGTAATTTACTAGTCAATACTTGTGAGGATCATCAGAAACATTCTATATGTTCCCTTCATGAGATGTAGCATACAAACTGGTCAGAATATTTGAGTTGGACCCCAGTCAAAATTAAAAAATAAAAGTCCTCTTTTCATAATTAAAACAATGGTACTGAGCCCCCAGAATGCCAGAATGTGCACTGATTAGCCAATAATTTATATTTAGACTAAAACTCAAAATGAGAAGGAGAAGGGAAGTTGCCCTGGATCTATTTATGAATGTATGGTGTCTGCTGTTCTTGGCTAGTCCTAGGGACAGACGAAGGCCATGGAATCCTCTCAGAGACCCTGATCAATAATCACGGCAGGCAGGAGATGGGCCTCTCATCAATAGGCAAGTATTGATTGTGGGAGTCTGATCCAGTTAGTATATCTGAGCTATGGAAGTCAGCACAAGCAAAGTGGAGCACACAATCCCTGCTCTCAAAGATTGTACTTTCTAGGGTCAGAACTGAAATTAAACACCCAGAAACAAGTAGAATCCTAGTAGATCCCACTCATGCATTGTGGCAAGAGTAAACAAGTGTTTCTTTAATTGTAGCAACTCACCAAACCATTCAAAGGCAATGGTCTGGAGGCTTTATTTCAGTTTCATCTTATCATTCAATCTTTTCAGCAGTTCTGAATAGAGAAAAGGGCAGCCTCTTTTGATTTCCTCGAACCTTATTTTATTTCATCTATAACCTTCAATCAAATGAGAAAAAGTATCTATTCAATTTTCCCAGTTTGAGTTCTTTCCCCAGAGCGTGCAGCTAAAGAAATATGCTTCTTTGCAGAGTGTCCTTCTGGAAAAACTGTCCAGCAGCTCACACTATACTAATTAGAATTAGCAAGGCAAATTAGAAGCTGTATTAGAATGTGTTTTCCCCCCTAACAGGGGGAATAGAGTTTGTTGGGTTGCTGTTTTTTAATTTGCTTATGCTCTTAAAAGGGGCTCTTAAGTGTGAAATGAAAGCATGTACCTGACCCAATGCAATGCAATCTAATACAATTTTCCAGGCATATTTAATTACTGGGCTTCTTAATTACAAAATCAGAAATGTTTTTTATAAGTAGAGATTCTGGATCTCTTTTTTTTGTCTAATTGAAAATCAGACTCTAGGTGGAACTGTGCATCTATGTAAATATTCAAATGGGAACGAAAGATTATCTCAGATAAGTTTTTACGGAAGATGCTTTTTTAACAACCCCCACAGCCTTCATTCCAGTTTGAATATTTTATTGCAGAATAGTCTTAATTACTGGGTGCCAACTGTATCTTGTTAATTAGACTGAACACTTTCTGCAGTGCTGGTGACAACTTACTCTTCTCTATTTCTCCAGTTCTAACAAAGTATTCAAACCAGTCATATTTACTGACTGAATAGATATCTATGAGGAAAATCCTCAAAAATCAAAAGTTAAATCTTTCAAATGTGCCATTTAAAATGATTTTTATTTTGTCTAATGACAGAATTGATCTTAAATTCCTTGATACATTTTATGAGGTGAGGGGGTTTGATCTGTGATAATGTAGAAGTATCCCATGAATAGAGATCAAATAGCTACCAACAGTTTTACATTTGACAAAGGATTATAGAGTTCGTCTCTAAATGTCTTTTCTTAGAACTTTAATATGCAAAAATTTTTCCTTTCATACACATGTGTATGCATGCGTGTATGTGTGCACACACAGGCACACACACACACACACACATACTACTTTTCCTTACTGACTCTTACTTATTCTTCAATCCGAGTTCAGGCAATTTGTTTCTACTGTTCCTTGTGTGTGCTTCAACAACACCCCTACTGTGTTTGCCTTTGTTAAACTATTTACCATCTGAATTTAGAAATCAATGTCCAGTACACTCCCTAACTGTCAGTTGTCTCAGGTCTGTTAATTGCAGGTTTCCACATTCCTTGTGCTTACCAATGTTTGACAGAAGTAAGTGTTCAATAAAGTTTTGAAGAAATGAACAAAGGCACCTGATTTCCTTTCCTTTTTTCTAAGTTTTATTGAGGTTGCAATACCACCCCACCCCCCCCATATCGAAATGGTAGGTTACAGAAGAACAGAAGAGAAGCGCAAAGCCTAGAGAGCTCACAAACTGCAAAATCAACCCTAAAATTAATTGTGCTTGATGACACAGCTTTAGATTTCAGCTTTGCACCCAGAGTGCTGACAGACACAATGGCTGAGCAGTATTAGAGTGGGGAGAATTGATTTTACTAATGCATGAAAAAAGGGTGGCATTTTTATGCTAAGCAATTAGTTTTTGGCAAGGAAATCTTTGTGTAGAAAGAGGAACCTTTTTTCTTGGTGACAGAATAATTTTCTTCACTGGAGTAAAATATTCTTCTTACAATCTAAATGTTTGGGGAATATATGAAAGTAAAAAGAACATTAATATCCTCTTTATATGACTTGTGATTCCACAATAGATGGCATACAATGGGGAAAGAAAATTAGCCAGAGGGACTCAGCATTTTGATTCTAGTTCCCCATATGCCACCTATTCTCCAAGTGAAAATGATTGTGGGGGGCGGGTAGCCTCTCCAAGCCTCAGTTTCTTCACTTGTGCAATAGGAAGACAAAGAAGGAAAGCTCATTGCTAACTGGTGCTTTTCTGCTTTCCAACTAAAATCTGGATCTACAACTTTGACTTCTTGGATATGTTTGTAGCAGATGCTGAAAATGAAATAATTTCTCAAAATCAGTCACAACTATGTTGGTCTGACCATCATTGAAGAGAAAAAAATCTTGTTTTTGACAAGTTCTGCTTGTTAAACACACAAACACAAGCTCTTAATGACCTTGTGAATTTATCTAACCTACTTTCTCCCAACAGTAAGCAGGCTGCATTTAAATCTTCTATTGATCTTCTATGATCTCCTATTCATCATAGTAATTGATTGCTTCCATTTCTGATTACTTCTTAGTATATCTCACAACTCTACAATGTTCTTACTTGTGAGAAATTTCTTTCTCCAATTAAAATAGAGTAACTTTAAGTTCTACTAGAATTAATTTTATCTTCGTAGAGTGAATAATGTCACTTTTACCACTTAAACTTCGTTTTGATTTTTCGACTTTCTTACAAGTTTTGCACTTGAACACACAAAGGGATTTCCAAAAGGAAAATGAAAGTGAAGGTGCATAACCTGGTAAATATCCATTTTATACTGTAAATCACATAGAATAAAGTATTGCATTGTTCTTTTTTTTGTTTCATTTTTGAGACAGAGTCTCACTCTGTCGCCCAGGCTGGAGTGCAGTGGCACGATCTGGGCTCACTGCAACCTCCGCCTCCTGGTTCAAGCAATTCTCCTGTCTCTGCTTCCTGAGTAGCTGGAATTACAGGCACATGCCACCACACCCAGCTAATTTTTGTATTTTTAGTAGAGACGGGGTTTCATGATATTGGCTAGGTTGGTCTCAAAAACCTGACCTCAGGTGATACACCCTCCTCAGCCTCCCAAAGTGCTGGGATTACAGCTGTGAGCCACTGTGCCTGGGCTGCATTATTCTTTTCATTAGATATTGCAACAAAATTTATTTTCCCCAGGTTATCCAAACTTTTTGCTATGAAACCTTACACACATGGCAGGTTTTTCCCCCTTGTTTGTTTTGTCTTGTAGCCTCCCTCAGCAGAAGCCAGCAAAGTACATAGCAGCTAGTTAACACAACAATTGACTGAGTAGTTGATAGGGCACCTAGTTCATGAATATCCAGTTAGCAACTCAGCAACAAAATATTACAGCATTCCCTTATAGCCTGTCTAATGACAGGGAATGGTTTCGAGACAAAACAACAGCTCATCTAGATGTATTTATTCATATTAAGCTCACACTTAACATGTATAACCCTCTCCAAAAAAACAGCTGCATGCAAATTTTTATTTGGTATCTATCTAAAACTTTTGTATATTTAAAATATTCATAGAATCATTGAAAAAAAAGGGAAGTAACTGTATTCTTGGACTACTATCAAAAGGCAATTACTATAACTGATGTTATACATCTCCTAGCCTTTTGATGGAAAGCTCAAGCTATATTTGTTTATTTTAATTGTGGTTCACATGGCACATCAAAGAAACCTTTCGGATTATCCTCTTAATAACCAACGGGATCACTGGAATCTCAACCCTCAGTTAATTTTCTAGTCATAGATTGGTTTATTTCAATCAAATAGTAAAATCTGTTCATTTGGAAATTTGATTATAACCAGAATTTGTTTTTTCCCAAGAAGAAATCACCTTCTAGTTCTTTACTGTTTTTGACAAGTTCTCCTTGTTAAAAATCGCAAAGTCCATTTAGATATGAATACTTTGGCTATAAACGTCCTGAGTGAAACTGAGAAATACAGCTGTAGACTAACTAGTTTGTTGATCAAAATCTATTGAGCAGATAGTTGTAAGGCCTACCTCAGACTTTGAGTTATTATCTCTAGAGATAGGGCTCAGGAAATTGCGTTTAAAACTGCAGGCCTTTTTATATTTAAATTTCCAAATCTCTGTTCTAGATAAAAGATTTTAGGTGCTTTTATCCAAAGGAACAAATGAAACTGATACGATCATGTCAAAGGTATGGATGATAGTGTTTTCCAAGATGTACCAAAACCAAAGTGTGATGATGCTAAAAAAAAATGTGCACTGTATACTCAATGCCTGGGGCAATGGCTAACATACATTAGGATTCAAAATGTGTTTTCTGGTTTAAATGAATGAGCATGTTCTAATCTCTGATAAGTTTGTCAAGAGACAGTCCCTCCAGGATATGGCCAATGAACTTTGCACTTGCTTCGATCAGCATCTCTGAACCATTCTGTCTTTGACTTCCTAATGATTGGTTACCTTGGGGAAAGTAAGGCTGAGCAACAATGATACACCAGGGAATAAAGTGAAGGTTCTGCATCTGTTTTAATCCAGATATGTTTTGTATGGTATAGAAAAGTATGAACAGTTTATGAGTAATCTCTTAGTATGTCCATTGTCTCTTACATAATCCCAAAACATCATTCTCTGAAGTAGATATTTATTATTCCCATTTTCAGATGAGAAGATTGAGGCTCAGAGATACTTTGAAACTCGTCCAGGTCAAATCCAAAGTTTCTGGAGCCAGGATTAGCAAAGCCAACTTACTTCAAAACCATTTCTCTTGTACTATGCTGCCAATGGATTGGTATTTAAATGAAAAGCAAGCTATATATGTGTACATTTGCTCTAGAGAGTAATCCTACCATGTGAAGCTATACAATATTTAATACTAAAGTAACACTATACAAATATTGTGCTTAATTTTTAGATATTAATGTATTGGAATTCAATAGCAGAGGAAACTGCTTTAAACCTTTCCACTTCATCCTTTAATTTAATGTAAGGATTAACTTAAAAACATAGACTCTCTATGGACTCACTGTAATGTACACTTGGCTTTGGGTAAGGAGTTAAAATCCTGACACGGAATGAGGATTTGTTTGGTGTTTGACATGCGTAATTTACAACTATGCAAATACACCTTAAGGAAGAATAAAACTGCTGCTATTCATTACAGCTTCGCTTTAGGAAAAATTCCCTTTCTGCAGTTTTATTCTTTCTTCCATTATTACTACTATTAATATTATTGTTATTTTCTCTGGAAAGAAAGATGGTCTCTCTATGAGTATTTAGAAGTGGATTTAAGTTTTAGAAGTCTTCCAACTAGAAGGAGCCAGTTCCTACATTTCTCAGATGACAAAAAAATGAGGCCCGTCTGAATATGTTGTTCCTAGAAAAACGTTTAATAAGTGAATATTAAAGGACACAGTGAGACCCATTTTTAGTGAGGTTTGAGTACACAGTTTGTGAATTAATCAGTGATTCTTATATTTGTATTTATAAAATATGCCACACTTAAATGACTAGATTTCTCTTGAGAAATGCTTAGTCTATCTTGAGACATGAATAATAATACAAGTCAGGAAGACAGGAATACATGTACATCCTTTTCCTCATACCAGGAACAGCTGCAGGAAATTTAAATACGTTAACTTCCTCTAAGATTAGGAGTATATATCAACTATCTCTTCTTTCAGTTGCTACTATTTGAATTGGCTAAAAATGTGAACATAATTTGGGTATCAGACAGTAGGAAAAATAGCACAGATACTCTCTGTCATCAGTAAAAAACTTATTTTGTAAATTTGTGCTCAGAAATTTTTAAACAGAGCTACTTTTAACATTTACAACTCTAACCTAAGCATGGACAAAACCACTTTGTTGGGGAAGACTTAGCTTAGCTAAAGGAGGCTAACATTTTAATAAAGTTTTAATAAATGTGAAGGGAGAACAAAAAGGAAATTCTATCATTGCAGGAAATGCATAAACACATATGAACATGTAACTGAAAAGTTATAAAATGTGTCCATTTTAGGCCTCAATACAACACATCAGAAGATACCTCATGTCAATTTCTTCCTTTTATCATCATTCCACCATCTAACTACTTTTTCCCTGAAATGCTACAGTGGTGTCCAAGTTTGTTCCTTCCAATTCTAATCCATATGCCATCATTTTTAGTCTAATTGTTCAAAACTATAGCTTTAGTATGTAATATGTCTGTAAACCTTCAGTGGCTCCCTATAGCTGAACAAATTAAAGATGAATGTTTTCCTGTCTTGGATTTCAAGGCTTCCACAATGCCAACATCACCTGTCTTTTTCTTTACTTTTCCTTATTATAAATTCAACATTTATTTTTGATTCAGAAGGTATATGTGCAGGTTTGTAAAATGGGTATGTTGCGTGATACCGAGGCTTGGGGTATCATTGATCCTGTCACCCAGCTAGTGAGCATAGTACCCAACAGGTAGCTTTTGAACCTTGTCCTCTTGCCCTACCTCCCCACTCTACTAGTCCCCAGTGTCTAGCGTTCTTATCTTTACGGCCATGTGTACCCGTTTATCATGTTTATCTCCTACTTATATGTGAAAACATGCGGTATTTGGTTTCCTGTTCTTGTGTTAATTTGCTCAGGATTATGGGCCTCAGCTCCATTCACGTTGCTGCAAAGCACATGATTTCACTCCTTCTTATAGCTGTGTAGTATTCCATGGTGTATATGCACCACATTTTCTTTATCCAATCCACCACTAATGGGCTCCTAGGTTGATTCCACATGTTTGCTATTGTGAATAGTGCTGTGATGAACGTACAAGTTCATGTGCTTTTTTGGTAGACCAATTTATTTTCTTTTGGATATATACCCAGTAACAGAATTGCTGCATTGAATGGTAGTTCTCTTTTAAGTTCATTGAGAAAGCTCCTGGAATTCGCAGAAAATGGGCAAGTATTTATGTTATAAACATATTATAAAAGTTTCTTAGATAACTTTAAGCCATCTGTAGGTAATATTAAAATTAAGACAATTAGTTTAGTTTTGAATGAATAAAATAATGCACCAAGTTGTTACTCCTTGAGAAAGTGTAACGTCATATGGGAAACATATTCTTACTGCAATATTGTGTAAATCACCAAAATATTTTAGCAACCAGAATCAGCTTTGAATATTAATATTATTCTTTTATAAATTATGCAAAGGAGCATGATCCTACCTTATCTTTCCAGTTTTATTTTCCTTGATCAAACTACCCTTTTGAGAAAGAATTTAAGTGATTATGAAGAAGACAGTAGTCACAGAAAGAGAAGATTCACTCTTAAATTTTACTGTTGATGCTCCCTGTTTTATAATTCATTATGTTTATCTACATCTCATGTTAAGTTTATGAATTTCTTGACAGAAGAGACCAGGAGTCCTATTGAATGGTGATTTGATTACTCCATTTTATCATGCATTTTGCTAATAAGACCTATTCTATCACTTGTTATTCTTAAACTTATCGGGGGTAAATCATAAAGGAAACTAATGAAAAGAAACTAACCAAATCCTCTCAAAACACCTACAGTAATTCTTCTTTGTACTGAATTGCTATTATAGAGTTTTGTTTGTTTGTTTTAACTGGTAGGTTATATGATGCTGCAGAAAGAAAGTAGCTTGGTAAAGAGAAGCCTAAGTCTTCCTAACTGAACTATCTGGTGTAAGTTCTTTCCCTTCTCTGAGCCTCAATTTTCTGAACTGTAAATCGTGCACAAATAAACCTATTTTGCCAGATAATTATTAAGATTAAATGATAAAACATGTAGACATAAGTAACTGAAATTTATTAGGTACTCAGAAACAATTTGTTTTGTTATTCCTCTCTCTGCCCCTTCTTCTTTCCCCCAGACACTCCATAAATGTTGACAACTAAGAATAGGTCAGGCGGGATGATAAACAGGTAAGTAACTTTCTACTTAGTAGGGTGCACTATGAGAATGGAACTCTGTTGAACTTTGGTATCAACTACCCTGAGAATTTTCCTATCATTTATTACTTTGATATTACACTTTGCAGAATCTTAATTATATATTATATTCCTTTTAGATGATTTTGTAAGTTGCTCTTTTCTTCCCAACTAGATTTTAGTTTTTGAATCTAGGAATGTAGTAGTCTATTCTTGGAGTCCCTACAGGGCCCTGGCACAAAGTGGCTCATAAGGTAGGCATTTAAAAATCACTTTAGTTAATTGACTGACATTGACAGAAGAATTCTATTCAAACAAAAGGCTATTGCATTGCACTTGGCAAATTAGGTCCACACCATTACAGTGAGTTACCCTGAGGTTCAACAGAGTTATTAAAGCTATAGTGGAAACAAATTAATTAATGGAAACTAATTAATTCTCCAAAAATACCTGGGAAATGTTACTTCTGAGTGGAAAAATAAGTAAATGGAAGTAATTTGACTACAAATGTCTGATTAAGTGCTATAAGTGCTAGAGGTAGATTATGCTCTGTGGAATTCCAGTTCTTACTCTAATTTATATCCCATCGAAAGATTTGCAAAGCCTTAGCTCAACAGAATTGATTCACAATTCAAAAAAGAGAGTGAGAAAAAGTTCCCGTGTTATACTATATGCCATACCATTAAATATTGTGAATTAATCCTAAGAAAAATGAAGCATTCAATACAAAACTTTGTCTCTGCTCCATTATAGTATATATGCAAACCTTAAGGGCATCTGAGGTATAATTCATCCTACTCACATTAAAAGGATTTTCTGCCTCAGTTAGCACTTTTCCAGTAATTATTTCAAAATTATCCTGACATTTGCTTATGAAATTTTAAGTCACTGAAGACTAAGGTAAATGGCATACTCTCTGCACTATATTCTAGATAGAGAAGATGATGGTCTAGATAGAATGCTGAAGTGTAGATAGAGAAAAGGGAATGCATTGTGAAGATGTTTTGGTAGAAAAGCAGATAGGACCTACTAATGGGTTTCATGTGTTTAGAGTAAAAACAGGAATGAAGGAAACATCTTTGGTCTAGGTCTGAGCAATAGAGCAGATGGTGCTTTCATTTAATGAATAGAGAAGACTAAACAATGATGAGATAGCAGAATTCGAGTCTGAAATAGTAAACAACTTTTAACTATTAATATTTCATCGACAGAGAATTTGACTCAGAAAAGACTCAGAGAAGTCAAGAAATTGCCTAAATTCATATAATGGAGATAGAATTTTAATAAACATCATCTGACTTTAAAGCCCATGTCTTTTTAACTTTATCCTGGCTCTCTTTGCACTCAGTTTTGAGAAAAGCAAACTTGAACTTAAAAATGTTCAGATTACAAAATAGCTTACTACTGTGCTATATTCTTTCTGTGTACTCTCCTATATAGAAACATAATTTTATCTATAAAGTATTTTACATATGACAATTAGATACACTACTATGTAAAGTCAAAATCAACTGTATCTTCCAACAAACATAAGTCTTGCCAGCTACATCACTACAGGTTGAATTAAGTTCAAAACAGTAAAGTAGTAAAATAATAGTTGTGATTCCAATTTATCTTTTAATTTGGTGGCTGACAATATTATGCAAATAATCTCACAGCTAAATGGGAAAGTATTCATATTTCTTTTTTTATGAACTCAATATGGTAAAAATCCCATGGAATTCCCAATAAATTACCCATGACGGTTTCTCTGTCTAATGGTTCACATATATTAAAAGCAGCTACTCTCCACTATTCACAACAGCAAAGACATGGAACCAACCCAAATGCCCATCAATGATAGACTGGATAAAGAAAATGTGGTACATATACATCATGGAGTATTATGCAGCCATAAAAAGGAATGAGATCATGTCCTTTGCAGGAACATGGATGAAGCTGGAAGCCACTGTCCTCAGCAAACTAACACAGGAACAGAAAACCAAACACTGCATGTTCTCACTTATAACTGGGAGCTGAACAATGAAAACACATGGATACAGGGAGGGTCAGGGAGGGTGGGTGGAGGGAAGAACATCAAGAAAAATAGCTAATTCACTCTGGGCTTAATACCTAGGTGATGGGTTGAGAGGTGTAGCAAACCACCATGGTACACGTTTACCTATGTAACAAACCTGTGCATCTTGCACATGTGCCCTGGAACTTAAATTACAAAAAAAGATAAAAAGAAAAAAAGCAGCTACTCTCACTGCAGAGGTCACAGGCAAACTCTCTTTAGAGCCCCAAGAACAAGCACGGCTTACATAATACATTTTCTCAGAGAAGAGAATATTATAGATTAGTCATTCAATTGTTTTTTACTCATTTATTTTATTTTTTCACTATTCAGGTTCTGAGGCTATCATAGCAGAATAGCAGTTAAATTTGTTTTCAGCCAATTCAATCCTTTTTTCAGTTACATTAATTTAAGAACTTACCTGAACAGTTAGTCTCTACTTAGTCTTTAAATTTTAGCATATTCCTTCTAGAAAAATACAGGTTCCAAATTCTAAACAAACGTGCTTTGTGGACCATTTAAAAGGCAGGACCAGCCCATTTTTTTTTTTAATGTACTTATTCCTTCATTGGAGTGTGTTTAAGATGAACTAGGTAGAGTATGTAATACTTGTAGGGAGACCCCCTGAAACTATTGCTATGGAATAAAAGATGAAATGCTCCTGATTATTGTAAATATAAAATTGCATGCAGGATTGTGTAGGTAGAGTATGTAATACTTGTAGGGAGACCCCCTGAAACTATTGCTATGGAATAAAAGATGAAATGCTCCTGATTATTGTAAATATAAAATTGCATGCAAGATTGTGTAAAGACAATGCCAGGTTGGACTGCCAGAATGAGCCAGCAGCGCGTGACGTGCTTCCCCCTACAGAGAGCCTATGAATGGACATGTAGTCAGGGAGGTTTCACATCACCAAGATTCCTATCCCAGAAAAGCAGATGTTCATAGCTCGGGGAATGGAATGCGACCCTTGTGGAGAGCCTATAAACAGACGCATGAGGGGCACCTGTCCATATGGATAAGATAGGGCTATAAATGCCCTCATCTTGCCATGGCTATTCTAGGCCTCTTTAGGGTTAGGGCATACTCCCTTCTGAGAATTTCTGGTATAACCGGTTGTCTAGCTTCACGTCCTGTTTCTATGGATTGTTTGTAACCAGCTTTTGCTGCAACTGTTCCTGCTGATTAATATCTTGCTAATCATAGGTTATGGAAAGACTGCGTTTCTGTTTTAAGGCTCTGTTGGAAATTACTGATGCACACACTATATTGTAAATTCTTATCTCTGTATACTGTACTTCTGCATACAGATGTTATGTTAAAGAATTACTTCATCCCCATGTGACCATCTCACCTCATAGTCAAATGACCCTAAATCCCTCACTAACCTACTCCTGCCCTCACTAAACTTAATAAATGCTGGTATATCCAGTGCATTGGAGGCATCGTGGGACCAGAAGGCAGTGACCCCCCCCTGGACCCAGCTTTCACTATCTTGTGCGTGTCTATTATTTCTCGACCTGCTGATCCACCTGGGAACAAAGAAAGAGCCCCATTGCATTGTGGGCTGCTGGCCAGATCCCGCAATAAATACTAAGGAAGTAGGAGACCACCCCGCTTGGTGTCAAGTAGGTGATGATTTAATCATTTCACTCTAATTGACAGATCTCTCTAAAAACAAAAATAAAAAAGCTAAAGACATGAATCCTTCTGTCTCCAGTGAGCTAATTTAGAAAAAGCATAGTTGCATAATATACAAAAAAAAAGAATATAATTTTTCTACATTTAATAAAAAATAGCTGCCCCTCAAATTGATCTTTTCTTTCTTCTTATGGAAGACAAAAGGCTGTTTAAGTATATTAAGCTAATGTAGGTAAGTGTTGGACAAGAGCTTAATTCTCTTCCATGAAAATGGCATTTTCAAGAAAGAGGAGTGGTATAAAAGCTTAATAATGTTTTTAAAATATTTTAACACAGAAAAATAATTTTTTTAATTCAGAAACATACCGATTAAAAGTACAAAGTGGTACCATTTCAAATCTATTATACTGTCAACGGCTAAAGTCTAATAATACCATGTGTTGGCAAGAATATAGGATAACAGAATTTCAGAATTCCCATGCAAGAATAATAATTGTAATGTTGTTTGTAATAACAAAATTTGGGTGAATGATCTCAAAGTTTTAACAATAAGTAAAGATCAACAAACTGCATTGTACCTTGCAATAGACTATGAAATAGAACTTAAAATTAACAAACTATATATACACATAACAGCATGGATATATCTTAAAAACATAACAGAGAGTGACAAAGACAAGTTGCTGAAGGATACAAAGATTGTGGCACCTATTTATAAATCTCATGAACACTCACAAACACTATATTTTGTGTACAGACAAACACATATGTAGTAAAAATATGAGAATGTGGATGAGAAAGATGCAGACCAACTGGAGAAGCGTTATTACTTCCAGAGAGGTAGAGAGAGAAGAATGGGATGTGGAAGGATTTTAAAGAAAACATATATTAAAATGTAACTGCCAGATCCCAATTCCCAGTGAAAGACAGTTTGATTTCATATATCCATTTAATCTACATTTTCTTTTAATTTATACTAGATGTTTTACATGCTAAATTCAAGACTCTTCACATAAAAAGTGATTGTGAGGATTGCTAAAATCTGTAAGTGCTAATAGTCATAGGAGAACTTTATTGACACAAATATCAACATTTATAAATTAAATGGAAATATAGTGAAAATGAAATTATTACCCTAGAAGTAGTTAACAATAGCCAGTCTCCTCATATAGTTAATAGATCAGAAAAGGACTTCATGAAATCTAATCAAAATATTATGTTGGCTTTTTCTCTTCCATTTGTGACTTTGTATTCCAAATAAAAATTGGTAAATATGGTATAATTAAGATATAACATTTTGTTAAAAGATATGTTCACTTTTAGGTATTATAAGTGACATGCTAGTCTTTCTGAAACTTTATTTTCCTTAATCTAACAGTATCACAAAACTCAGTGACAAAGGAAACATTTATGTTAATGTTTCATAGTGAGAGATAATTAAAAATTGCAAATGTATTGAAGACATCACACTTCATCTTTTCTATATGTGTATTAATTTCATGTGCATTTCACAAAACTCCCCCAGAATTACTAAGACATCCATTATGAATAATAAAATCAGCCAGGTGTGGTGGCTCACACCTGTAATCCCAGCACTTTGGGAGGCCAAGGTGGGCAGATCACTAGAGGTCAGGGGTTCAAGATCAGCCTGGCCAACACGGTGAAACCCCATTTCTACAAAAAATATAAAAATTAGCTGGGCGTGGTGGCACGCACCTGTAGTCCCAGCTACTCAGGAGGCTGAGGCATGATAATCGCTTGAACCCAGGAGGCAGAAGTTGCAGTGAGCTGAGATCATGCCACTGCACTCCAGCCTGGGTGAGACTCTGTCTAAAAAAAAAAAAAAAAAAAAAAAAAAAACCAACAGAACTTATTCCAAACTCTTCTGGAAAAATGGCTAAATGGCAACACACAGGTAAAATTAAGACAAAAGTTCACAACACAAAACTGATTTAAATATGCTATATGGTCTATGGTTGGTCCCAATCTCATTAAAACATAATTATTTCAAAGATTCTCAAATAAAAAGTAGAAAGAAAATCACTGTAATTAATGTAAACTTGCATACAGAGCTAGCATGAGTAACATGGTGTCTTCTAACAGACTCTATTGAAAATGTTGGCATTAATAGCCCATTTCAAAGCTATTATTAAAAGACATTAAAGGATAAATAGAAGATTTATTGCTGACAGTATGGCTTAGTTAAGGGGCATATGTATTTGAAAGCATCAGCCTTCTCTTGGTTTCACTAATCCTGAAGTTCTTGGCCCTGTGAGAAGACAGACTTCAATGGTGCCCTCTCACCACTGCCCAGCAAAGAGGGATAGATCCATTATAGGTTGTTTCTCTATACTTCTACACTTACCATGAAAAATCCAGTCATGACGGACAAAATTTTGGACTGTCAAAAGATGAGGATTGGACAGAAGAATGTCTTTAAAAACAGAAAATGACAAGGAAAAATGATTATCTTTAGAAAAAATTATGAGTATGAATTACAACCTAAAAATAGTATGGTTTGTGAAGGAAATGATCACATTTAAAAATTCAGGTTATTAATTTGACCACTTGGAGTTAAGTCTTCAAGCTAAAGGAGTAGAAAAGGCAATTTTGGTAAGGATTGCTATTTACCAATAATCTAATTGAAGTGTGCTTAGATTTATCTATTAGGACTTATCATGAAATTGTTAGAAATATCCAGAGAAGAAAATAGGAATGAAGAGCATTATGTTCCTGTTTTATCAACTCTCTAGGAAGAGGGATTTAATAGACTACAACTTACAAGCCTCTGGACTGTTATTATATCCTGAAAATGAACATGATTAGAGAATCCTAACGAACAACAAATCTGTTAATTTCAGTGTAGCCTACTAGTCACAGAAACAACTTCCAGGTGATTTAGTACCTCTGTTACTGAACCAAAGTTTAAAAAACTGCCTGTCAATTGAATATATTGAATGAACAATATTCCAGGAAGCACGGAAATACCACAGAAGAGGGACTAAGTAAGTAACCAATGATGTAAAGTAGCTTAGACAAATGTAGATGGGATATGAAACTAGAATAAACATAGGTAATCAAAACCAAACTGCAGGTAACCAAAACAAAACTCCAAGACATCAGCTGTTTCAGGTTTTGAATGCTTTTGTTTATAGGATGGTGTAACTTGGTAAATATCTTATTCCATCAAGATATTTATTTTATAAACCTGATTGATTCACAAAACTGACTTGTAAGTGGTAAAAGTGATAGTAATGAAAATATTCAAAACTACTTATCTAGATCCTCTATCATGATGCAATTTCAATACTGTGCCTATTTCTTTTCACCAGTCAGCATTTCGATAGGAATACCACATTTAGGATTTTCATACATGCAAAAAGGAAATGCACATAATTGTAAGAAGACTATACAACATTAGTATTATTTTAAAACAGCAAAATAAAGTAATATAGTTGATTTAAATTCAGTATGTCTTCACATTTGTGTTTTGAATAAAAACACTAGTGAGTTACTGCTTTTTATGGTAATACTACATGGGAAATATTTTTGCTTTTTACATTTTTTTAGGTTGGCAGATTGACTAATATGATGCAAGTGTACAATGCTAACACATTTGGAATATATTGCTTTATGGGAAATAACGTACCAAAAATATGAAACCATTTATCTCACCATAAGTTCCTCCAGGAAAAGCTTTTAGATAAAGTGACTTTCACAGCAATATGAATCCACACTGTACTATAACATTTTAATCCATCTCAGAAATGGTAAGTGATTACCTTAAACTTTTTGATAGTAAACTTTATAGAATCCAAGTATGATAGTTCTATTTTTTAAAAAAGTATTAGATTTTGAAGTGAGCAACATAAGTGAAACAGAAAAGTATTGTACATTTTGCTAATATTATGGGATTCTAATAGTTTAAGCTTGTAAAAATATTTATTTGGATCATAAGGCTATTTAAAAGCACAAGTTCATTAATTCCCCAAGTAGACGCAAATGACAATAGAAAATGAAAAAAATTACTATCACATTTAGAATTCAGTTAAAAAAAAGAAAATAATTCCATCCTCAAACAATTACAGTTAGCAAAGTTTAAAAATATTGATATAATCTAATTTTGAAAATAACACTTAGGAATGGGATATTGCTCTCTTACCTTGTTGCTGGGAAGATACATTTGCAAAGCCTTCCTGTTTGGTTGCTTAGATGGATGTGCCACAACATAAAATGGGTATGTCCTTTGTCCCACTATTCCCATTATTAGGATTTACTCCAAGGAAACAAATCATCAGTGTATAAAGGATCTGTAAAAGGATATTCTAGGGAAATTATCTATACCTCTCTATTTGTGAAATAGGACATAACACATATTCATCAAAAGGGCCCTGCTATTTTTGAGATATAGAATATAATATTATGTATGTATATCAATCCTTTTATATAGAGGAGAAAGCCCATGATACATTGTTGAACAAAAGGTAGTGTACATAACAACATGGAAAGTAAGATATCATTATATATAATTTTATGTCACTATACATGTATGGGCATACACATATTCATACACATAACTGTTTCGAAGTATGCTAATAAAGAGTTATAAATTGGGTTGGATTTGTAATATAGTGGTTGAGAATCACAATTCTGTAATCAGGGTACCTAACTTCAAATTCCAGCTTCACTACAAAGTGCGTGACCATGGGCAAGTTACTTCACCTCTTGAAGCTGCCATTTTATTATCTGTGATATGGGAAAAACAAAGCCTACCTCATGATGTAATATCTTAGCCAAGTTCCTGGCACACAGTAAGACCTAAGTGAATATTAATTGTTATAATATGTTTGTATTTTTCTTTATTGTATTATTTTCATAACAATGAATATGTATTATTTGTATATAATCTATCTTTAAAACTTTTAAGTTTAAATACAAATTTAATAAAAAGTTACTGATTTGTTTCATACTTAACTCTAAAATTTCAACCTATCTATTTTTAAAATTGTTCTTATGACTAGTGATAGTGTATTAGAATTAATATATTATAGGTCTCTAAAATGGCTCCATTCTCAAAGTTGTGCAGGTCCTTAGGAGTTGAAGAAAAGTTCTAGGTTAAAAAAATGATGAAGCCATGAGCGGGCTCATATAGCAAAAGTGGGACAGTTATACACATGTATATAAACTTATTGATTATAATCTATATAGTTTTTATATATTCAATTTACCATTGTTTTCCTGGTAGCAAGGATAAAAGGAACTAATCACAATGAGTTATATACATCTCTATAAAAAGAAGAATCAGGTCTTCCCACCGATGAAGTTAAATCAACCCAGGTAAAATATAAAACTTTTTCTGTGACATTCTGGAAAGAATATCTCAATCCAAGAAGCAATTTCTATGGTAGAGATCTCAGTCGTTGTAGCAAACTGTTGAGTAATTAAAAAATGAAAACACAACATTGGCAGAGCCATGGAACACACCTCAAACTGCAGTGTGGTGTTGGTCTTACTGGAATCTTACGCTAGTATATTACCATCTGGAGAGGCCTAACCAAAAGGCCAACTTCTTATTGAAAGAGAGTAAAGAAAAATGAAGAGAAGGTGATGACAAATACTGTAATCTTACATTGTGATCCCCCTTGTCACTTTGAAAGCAAGCATTAATAAACTTCTGGAACCCAGCTTAGTTTCTCAGTACCACAGGCATCACTGTATATAGGGCTCCCTCGGGAACTCACAGCTCTCACTTGTAGCCGTGAATGGCAGAACATTTAACAAGCTACCAGCTTTTAAAGTAGAGTATCAAGACAAAGTACAACCAATTCCATGTAAGTGACTATATCATCTGTAATGTTATCAAAAGTTCACAAGAAGAGCATGGCAGTTACTTGTCTCTCCTGCTCTCACCATTTACTCCTTCAACTATGTCAGCAAAAGCTCTAGGCTTTTGTTACCCAAATATAGACACACATAGGCAAGAGGCACTTTAATTCTCAACCTAGTTCCCCCCAGGTGATCTCATGTATATAAAATGTGCTTCAGATTTATTCACTGAGAAGGCTATAAAGTCTGTTTTGTATTTATTGACTGTGTGCCAGATACCATCCTAGAAGCTTAACATAACTTGATTCTCACACATCTGTAGTAGGTGTTATGTATCTTTGATGGTTGAAGAAATTGAGGTTCAAAGAGACTAATTTCTTGGACTAGATGACAACTAGCTAACAGTAACACTGCGAAAAGAGGTAATGAGTCTAAAACTCTAGAGCAATTGAATCTAAAGCCTCAATATATTAACACATCAGAGTGAGTTGGAATGTTGAGTGCTACCATTTGCCTGCTTAACAGCGTTATTATTTAGAGATATGACATGGTTTGTTTCTCCTTCATACCTCCCCTCCCTATCCTTGACTAACCTAAAAGCATTGCTGGCAACATTTCAATTTTTAAAATGATAACCAGAAAAGAACATAGCAATCATGCAACCCTCCCCTTTGGAATTTTTAAATTAGCTATAACATCCAAATCTACTTAAACTAGGTCATATTTACAACTGAATCATTTTTTGTCTCCTTTCAGTGATGAAAAAAAGTTCCTTCACTAAGATGAAGATGTAAATTATGCTGTTGCTCTAAGACATCAGAGATGAGAGCCACACAAATCAAATAAATATCTATTTAATACGCATTTGTCATTTATTTCAGATTTGAATCCAGATGCTTTCTCTTCCAATGTTTAAACTAAGAAGTGTTTTTGAATTCCTGGGGCCAGAACTGATCGACAGTAAAGTTGCCCTCCTTTTGAAAGCATTTAGAGACATACATTTTTACATGTGTGAACACACACTTCATTGCCTAATGTTGTGGTAAGCTGCTAAGTGCTTCTTGTCTATTTCTATTCAAGAGAAAGGAAATCTAAAATGCTAAAGAAGTGGTTTACAACCCAGTCTAATGCTAATCGAAAACCACTCACAACTGTCAAGGTGCTTATATACAAACAATTTCTACCTGCTTTTAAACTGGCACGGGTGCTCATTTTGGTTCAATGTTCATTGAGCATAAACAGAAAGACTTTTACCGAGTTCAACATGTAAAGTATTTCTGCTCACTGACAGAGTAACTAAGACTCCATAGCTGAAGGTTATGTGGGGCCTAAAGCTTATAGAATTCAGGAGGCTCTGTTCAAGAAAAAAAATACAAAATTATAAGTCCAAAATTAGGCACTGGATTTTGGAAGGACACTGAGTTTAAGGTTTATTAGCTTCATGGTAAATTGGTTTCTGTCTCCAAAGAAGATTCTCATTGTTTCTTCTTGAATTCACTGATGAAAAACATGTACCTGATTTGTTTGCAAAAGGCCCATTACAATTATTTTATGGAAGAATTATAATGAATCTAAGTAAACCCATTTAAACCAACCAAAAGGAAAATTTATATATCATTCAGAGTTCAATAATAGTAATCTTTTAGTGATTAAATACAATGTGTATTAATTCTTATTTTTCCCATACTCAGCATCCTAAAATACCCATTAAGTATTCAGAGCATTACACATGAGCTTACAGGATAGTTAAGGAAGTGTTTGTATTTGCAGGGCAAGGGAGAAAACTCAAAAGATGGCTGGGGCTCTGTTTACCAGCCTTTGCAGTTCTTTGTTAATCTGGATGCAAGACAGGTGAAGTGATATAGGATTGACTCATTTCAATCAAAATATTAGGGCTATTTCTAAATAGTATGAGGCTAGAGCAGTGTTCCTGAATATCTCTTAGAGATTGTAGTTTAATCAGTTTCTGTGGAGTAGGGAAATGAGACAGTTATCTACAATGTTAAATCTTAAGAATACTACTTTCATCTAACAATTCTCGAGTCTGACAGTTGTTTTAAGAGCTGTGTTACAAAATTATTTCCTTGATTTTCCCACTATTTTGGTATACGTGGACACAGTTGAGTTTAATTCTTACTCCCCTCAATTCTAAAGAGTAAAACTTTGATTGAAAGAGAAGCAGCAGCATGGTACAATGCGTAAAATATTGGGGTAGGTGTTAGAAAAATTAAAAGCCAGTCCAGTGGTTCTCAAGCTATCGTGCATATCAGAATCACTTGGAGGGCTTCTTAAAATACACAGACCCCCATCTCAAAAAACAAACAAACAAAAAAAGATTGCTGGCCTGATCCCAGAGTTTCAGTAGGTCTGGGGAATAGGCCCCTGGAATTGGAATTTCTAATGTGTTCTTAGGTCATACTGATCCTACAGAAACCATACTTTGCAAATAGAATCACTGAATTAATCCATTGTGTGGCTCTATTTTCTCATCTGTAAATAGGGATATTGACCTGGATAATGTCTAAGGCATCTTTCAGCATTAAACACTTCATAATTCCCAGATTCCAACATACTGCCTGGTCTCAGCCTCAAGAGTCCTATTCTTCTGGGTGGTATTAAATTTATACAGTGCACCTTGTAAAATATCAAAAGCCACTTAGTTTTAAACTGATTTCCTTTCATTACTCTGTAAGGTGATTCTTAAAGCACTCTAATATATTTTTTATTGATTGAAGGACTCAATATAAATGCAAAATATCACATGGCACAGTGTATGGCTGACATGATTTCTGATAAATAGCTCAGATTTTCAGATAGAAAGGATTGTCAGAAAAGATTAAAAAGTATGTTTTACTCAGAAATTTACAAAAGTAAAAATGGAACCATCAATAAAGCAAATTGCTTTTTGAAAAAATTTTAATTTTATGTGTTCAAATGTGACAACTACAAATTGCTTTATACTGCCCCTTTGCTAGAAACCAACAAATGTGAAACTTTGACATCCTTACCCCATTTTCTCTCTCTCTCCTTTTCTCTCAATCTTCTTTTTCTCTCTCCACTCTCACAATATTTCGTATGCTTTCCGGTAGATAAGAAATTTTAAGCCAGTACTTTTCTCAGGGCTTGCAATATATGCCAAGCTGATCTGCACATCTCAGAAAGGTGAATTCTCCACAATAATATATCTATCTTACATCATCTGATTAAGGTACTAGTAGAAATTCAAAATCTGCCAAACAGAAAGTAAGAAATCCTCCCCCATTATGAACTATAATCTTTGTTATCTCATCTATGCTTCTTTGTAAAATGCATTTCATATTCCCTAAGTGTCAAACAGAAATCTGCCATATCAGTATGTTCATGCCTTTTTGATATTCTCTCATTTTCAGCATGAGTTTCAGCTTTTCACCTGCCTGTACCCAAGAGCTCGTGAAAACTTCTTCCTGCTTCTCTTAAAAGGGACTGCCTCACCCCCTCATGAAACATTTCTTCAGTCTTTCTCTCAGGCTCATTCTTTAATATAACATAAATATCACTTTATGTTTATATAACATTTAGCAATTTTCATATCACTTTCACCAATGGCATCTCATTGGATTCTCAGAATAATCCAATGAGATAGCCAAGACAAGTATTATTATTTCTATTTTATTGATGAGAAAATCATAATGTTGAGACAGTAACACACCTTTCAGGTTAAACATAGGATTTGTCTACTAATTCAGTGTTGTTTTCAATAAACTACTTTTTAAAAATGAGAATTATAATAATGATTTTGATAATAATTGTATTAATAGCAGCTAACATTAACTGAGGATTCCTACATGGCAGGCACATAAACGCTAATGCTCATGACAACCCTAATTACTTAAGGGTTTATTATCTCCATTTCACTGGTGAGCACGTCAAATGCAGAGAATCTAAACAACTTGCATAGGAGTACATGCTGATAAGTGGTGAAGCAAGATTCAAACTCTGGCAGTCTCACCACAGAACTTGTGTAAGGAAGAAGTTAGTGGTATAACCTAAATTATAAATATATTTATACACCTGTTATATTATAAGTCGAAATGTCCATGCAGTTTTGTGAAGCTTCAGGAAACACATTTTGATGGGTTACAGTTCCATTAGGAATCTATTCAATTTCAAAACTATATTGGGGCTGTAGGATAGCTAGTACAAACAATGACAAAGTTTAATTTTAAAAAGAAGTGATCTCATTTCTTTTGTCTGGCTTCATTTTCACACCCTATACATCAATTTTTAAAGGATGTGAAAATCATAGTCTATTTTCAGGATACTTAGGGATTTTTTTTTTCAAAAATTCTTCTAAATTAGGGATTAAGAGAAAATTCGACAGGTCAAAATAACAATGGTTTAAGTATATAATTTCCATCAGCAATTAGAAAACACACACCCATATGTATAAAGTTAACCTTTGAAAACACCTAGGTTTGAACTGTACAGTTTCATTTATTCATGGATTTTCTTCCACTTCTGCCACTCCTGAGACAGCAAGACCCTTCCTCTTCTTCAGACTACTCAATTTGAAGGCAGTGAGGATGAAGACCTTTATGGTGATCCATTTCCACTTAATGAACAGTAAATATACTTCGTCTTCCTTATTTTCTTAATAACAATTTTTTTCTCTAGCTTAATTTATTGTAAGAATACAGTATATAATACATAGAGCATACAAAATATGTGTTCATTGAATTTTCCTGTCATAGGTAAGGTTTCCCCTCATCAGTAGGCTACTAGTAGTTCAATTTGAGTGTAATTGAAAGTTATACGTGGATGTTCAGCTGTGCGGGCTGTGCGGGGGGACAGATCCAACTCCTGTGTCATTCAAGGGTCAACTGTATGTATATACATACATACCATCATATTCTCTGTATATCACATATCCTTATATCATATATATACATATATAAACACACACACACATATATATATATATATATACTAGTTTGGGTGATTGTATCAGAATTAGAGTCTTAGTTATAACATCTTATCGTCAGATCTAAATTAATCTATTCAAAGGAACATCAAAATGCTCTAAAACAATCAGAGCTTCAGATGAGCTGCTGCCAGTAAAATGAGTTGTAGTAGAAATACACCATACTAGCTGGTAAAACCGGCCTACCATGCACCTGGCAGAACTGTCCGCATTTATATGCATTATTTCACTTAATACAACAGCCTCATCAGGGAGGCATACGTTTTAAATAAATTAATAGTTAAAGAAACAAATGCAGAGAATGACATGGTTTACCCAATGCCAGGTAACTGTAGTTCTGGTTGGTTTCTGATGCTCAAACTGCTCTGTATGAAACCTGGCTCCTCCATTTCCTAGCTTAGTGACCCTGGCAAGTTTCTGCCACAACTTTCCTGTTGTGGGTTTTCTTCTCTGTAAATAACAGCAGCTGTCTCATGCATGGTAATTTAGATTAAAGAAGATAAAGTATATAAAGTACTCATCCGAGTGCTTAGTACACAAAGCATTTTACAAAAGGCAGATATTATTATTACTACTATAATATTATAGTTCATTATTTAACCTGGCACAGAAGCAGATCACCTAACCTGTCACTCATGTATTTAATGAAGACAAATACTCCAAAGTTCAGCATCCTTTCTCCTATGTTTTGATGTCTTAAGAAGCTAAGACAAACCGTATCAAACCCATCAATATTTAAGAAGCTGTCCTAGTCAGGCAACCTTTGACAGTCAATACTTGCTATAAAGTTATTTAAATACAAAGGTTTGCTGGAGAAAACACAACCTTATCTTGCCTTTCAGTCTCTACTGTCTTCTAGTCTTAACCCATGGTAGGTGGTTATATCCTCCAAGTATTTGGTTTACTCCTGACATAAACACATATGGGCTTGAACAAGAAGAAAGAAGAAATCAAAACTCTGCTAAGTATATTGGAATTTGGTATAGGGTTAACAGCTCATAAAAACTGGCAAGTCATATTATATTGTAATAGTTTCTGAATTACACATTTTATGTGCTTGACTACAGATATGCACCTGAAATAATCTAGTCTACTCGGCCCACACCCAGCATCACTACCTCCCTATCCTCATAGCCACCACTTCTTACTACAACAATATTGGTTCTATGCCCACTTCCAAACCATCCCTGATCATTACAAGTTGACCAATGGTCGCTTAATTATCAGTTATACTAGCATCTTACAATCTTCCTTTTTTTTCTTTTTTTGCAGTATATGGAGTGTAAAATGTAAAGCCAGGGGGTGTAATGATGCTTTTAGAATTCTTATACTGCTCTGGAAGTTGGTTAATTTTGTTGTTTTACATTGGGTAGAGGAACACTAAAAAGCATTTGCTATTTGAAGTTAACCTTTGACATTCAATACTTGCTATAAAGTTATTTAAATACGAAGGTTCCCTATTTTCTAACAGAAAAGTCAACAATTGTACAAACTAAGGTTACAGGTGAAAAATGGGGCTAAGCCCAGTGGTTCATTCCAGTAATTCCAGCACTTTGAGAGGTCAAGGCAGGAGGACTTCTTGAGCCCAGGAGTTCAAGAACAGCTGGGCAACATAGCAAGACTCCATCTCTATGAAAAAAAATAAAACAACAATTAAAAAATATATGAAAAAATGGATTCAAATTATTTACGTTATGCTCTACATGTAACCAATTGCTCCTCAGAGGAGACAGTGAGTGTATCGGATCCTCATCAATCAAATTAAGAAATGTATTCCCTGCACTATATATGCATTTGAATCCGAAAAATCTGCCAATAAAATGTCATCTTATTTCACTCATTCGGACAATACTCTGAAAATACATAAGGGTGAAGATTGTTCAACATGGGAAAGAAATGAAAATACCTAAGTCCACTTTGCAACTCTAGTGAAGCATTTTTTTTTTCTTGGGAGGACAAACCATGATTCACCTTCCCATTTAAATTACACATTCTCTTTCCAGATTAGCAGCCATTGACATTTTTTCCATGAACAGGGAAGAAGTTATTCTGATAATGATACTGCCAACAAGCTGAAAGGCAAGAAAGCAGCCCAGAATACCTTTCTCCATCAAACTTAGGGTCCAATATTTGCCAGTTCTGACAAAACTTCAAATGAAATGCTTTAAGGCCAAGCATGGTGGCTGACACCTGTAATCCCAGCACTTTGAGAGGCTGAGGTGGGCAGATCACCTGAGGTCAGGAGTTTGAGAACAGCCTGGCCAACATGGCAAAAACCCATCTCTACAAAAAATACAAAAATTAGCTGGGCGTGGTGGTGCAGGCCAGTAGTTTCAGCTACTTGGGAGACTGAGGCACAATAATTGTTTGAACCCAGGAGGTGGAGGTTCCAGTGAGCCGAGATCAACTCACTGTCTTCCAGCCTGGGTGATAGAGGGAGACTCTGTCTCAAAAAAACAGTATGGTTTTTAAAAATAACCAGTTAATTGCATTTTGCACCATATCTGGCTGAATCCTGTAATGTAAAACTCTTACATTCTCCTGTAGAAGGATGTACTTTGCCAAGTAAACTCCCACTGGGTAATGTGGTCTCCCTCGAATGCCCTGATGTACAAAATTTAAACTAACCACATAAGTGCTGCCTGGAAATCAGCCCTTGTTTACTCAGAAAAGTGTCTAGGAAGGCAGATGGGCTTTGACAGGGAAAGGTCCCAGGGACCAGCATCCTGATAGTGATCCTTGGAGGCTTTCTTTTGCTTTTGGTGCCGCAGGTGTGAACATGAAAAAGTGGTTCATCTCTCCCACCCCAACCATCAGCCTACTACATTATTTCATATAAAGTGAGTAGGGAGAGGCACATATATTCAAAAAATAAACAGAATGGCAAATGTCAGTACAAAGAAAATTTTTAAAATTGAGTTGAATCCTCAAGTTATGTATAGTATTTTCTAATTTTTCCAGCTTTATTGTGGTATCATTTATAAATAAAATTATTTAAGATGAACAACTTAGTGTTGTGATATATGTACACATTGTGAAGTAATCACAATTAAACTAATTAACATATTATCACCTCCCATAGTTACCACTACCTTGTTTTTTCTTTCTCTCTCTCTCTTTTTTTTTTATGTGTGTGTATGTGTCTATATATTGACAACATTTAAGATCTACTGTATTTTTTTGTCTTCCCAATGGGGTGTCCTTATCATATTGAAGTGGGAACTTATATTAAAAGAACAATCAGTGATCACAGGACAATGACTGCTTCTCATTTCCATATCTTTGTTTACAGATATGGAATACCTCCTGTGGGTCCTCCATCCAGTCGCATTTTCTTCCCCCAGAGCTTTTGATCCTTGTTTTCTCACTGCTGGAAATGTTTTCCCGCCCATAGCTGACTCTTTATAATTTAATTCTCTGTGTGAATGACAACTTCTCGGAGAAACCTTCACTATCTTACCTGCCCACCCCAACCCCATTACATTCTTTTCACTAAGAAAAATTATTTTCAAAAATATAAACTCACTGTGTATATAATCTACTAGAAAGCTAGTTCCATTACATCAATTGATTTTGTAAATTTTGCCCACTGGTTCTCAACACTCAGAGCAGCGTCTGGAACATATAGGCACTCAAAACGCTTGTTCAATGAGTTTATTTACTCAGAAATGAGTACATAAAACAAGGAAAGAACTGCTTGGTTTAGGGCTTAGGAAGTCTTTGCTGCAGGCCCATTTAACTTGCAGCTTTGTGGGACTGTGGAATTCTTAATATCTGTGTGATGAGAAACTGAGCCAGGTAGTCTCTATGTTCTGTTCTAACTTTGACATATCATAGTCAAGTGCCAAGTCTTATCCCTGGAGAGAGAAATTTCTAGGAATTGCCAGTGTGCCATAATTTCTCCCTCCTTAGGACTCAAACATTATATTTTCTACATTTGGCACTTAAGCCTTGTTTCTGGTATTATAGTGATACCAATCATTATATTAATTACTTTACTCTTTAATCTCTATCATATATATGTCTTATCTTCCCAAGATGCTCTTCCAGGAATAAGTCTGCTATATCTATTTTTCTTCTTTAATTTCCCATTGCCAGACATATAATAAATAAGTTCAGAACCCAGTTTGAAAGAACACCAAAAACACTGCCAACTTCATTATTGCGTATTTCCCAAATGGGTTAGTTACTAAGAGTTAGAGTCAGTATTCCAATCCACATATTCTGATATAAATAGCTGATGCATTTTTTTTTCACCAAAAGTAAATGTCTTCACATTTAACCAGAAGCTCTATGAGGTTTATTCCCTTCTAATTTGAACAGAGGCTATTTCATAAGAATTTTCAGGAACAAGTGTTTTAAGTTTCAAGGGTAATTTTGGAACCTGCTAGATAAAATGGCTACAATTAGTTTGCACATTGGATATACTCTAGTTCAAGTTCATATCCACTTTAATACTTAAATTGCAGCTAATTTGCACTCATCTGAACCCAACAGGATAATTCACCTTCAGGCTTCTACACCCAGGCCAATCATATAGCTCACGGCATGAACAGGATGGCACTTGGGCACTTTCAGTACTGACTGTACAGTTTGATGTATGCTTTACATTTTTTTGTTTTATTCACAGAAAACACTGCCACTCATTCTCTTGGTGGAGCAAGAGAACAGCAGCAGGGGCTAGGGTCTGCTCTGTCACCATACCCTCTTGGAAAGAGGGGTATATGCTCATCAGAGCTCCCTCAGCAATGTGAGGACAGTATGAAGACAAAGAGCTTATTCAAATTGCAGGACAAAACTCAAGAGAAAGGCTTTTGGAGAGTGAATCCTTTAGGGTTTTAGGGTTTTTGATTTGTAAGAAAAGAAAAATGTATCCCAATTTGAGAGGGCAGCAGTAGACTATTGTTTCAAAGAATTTGGTATCTATTTTGTTTGTTTGGTGTTTCAATTATCAACGCTTATTTTGCAGGGGAGTACTATTCACTCTCTGAGCTTTTATCATTGAGCTGGCAATAGGACAAATGACCTTTTGTGTGTAATGCTTTCAGGGATTTTCTCTTTCTCTTCTGGGTGAAACTATTCAACAAAGCAAAAATAAAGGAAGGAAGAGAAATTGGAGAATGCTATTCTCCACAAAGCATGAAGACAGTTTACAGAAGAAAAAAAGAGTCCAATTTCACAGCCAATTACACTCCTGGAAAAACCAATTCACAATTATGAGAGAAAGTTACAACTGTTTAAAGCATTAATATGAAGAGTGAATGAAAAAACAAGGCTTGAAATTATATGAAATCCTACATACGAAGCAAACTGTTTTCAGTTTGTGAACCATATTTGAATATTCTTGTCAAATTCAATCCTATTACCTGTGCGTAAAGAAAGAATGTCATTGAATTAGACCATAATGTACGGAAAAACACTTAATATCTTGAAGCCTACTATTGATTTAATGAAATATGCTCTGCATTCCTCCTATGTGCAAGGTCGTCTGTCATGTCTTAAACTTCCAAACGTGCCATTCTCAGGGCCTTTACACACGCTTCCTCCCACCTGGATGCTCCTGTCTTCAATATCTGCAAAGCTCACTCCCTCATCTCCTTAAAACTTTTATCCAACTGTCCCTCTTCAGTGATACATCCCTGATTTCATCCTTAAAAGCTGTAATCTTAACCACTGCCCCCAAACTCTAGGCCTTTTTATTTCTCTCTATAGCATTTACCACTATCTATTATAACAAAGAATAGAATACAATCTCCTTATATATTTTATCAATTGTCTAGCTTTTTCCCATTAGTACATATGTGAGAAAAAGGGTTTTTTTGTTTTGTTTTGTTTTGTTTTGCCTGTTTATTTTTTCATTACTGTCTCCTTAGTACATAAAAAAGTACCCAGCACGTAGTAGGTATGCAATAATGATTTCCTGATGCCCCAAAGGTATATGAGATTATGATGAAAACAGAATATAATTAAAAATAGTTTTTTCCTAAGAAAAATGATGCCCCTGATTCTCTTAGCTGACCTGATCAAAGAAAGCTTACTGATTGGTCTTAATTTACTGGGAAGCAGTTACCTAAAGAGTAGGATTGCCAATTAACAGAAGAAGTTAGTTCTTTTCCATAACACTTATCTCATGTATCTGGGTCTTTATCAGTAAACATATGTCCTAGTGAGATGGTGTGGAAGAAGCAAATTATGATGTCTTTGATAAATACCAAGCTATTCCCTGGGTCTCTCCCATTTACATTGCCTTTGCAGAGGTCAACATAGTGGCCGAGATTAGTATTTGTTTGGGTTCTTCTGAGAAGCATCCTCATTTTTCAAATATTATTTGGAAAAAAATAAAAATGTTTTGTGAAATTATGTTTCCTTCTTCTGTTACCAAAAACATAAATTACTACTATACATGTGCTTTTCCAATTTGGGTAACGGAGTAACAGTCGACAAACGTTCTGTTGCTGTTGTTACAGCTGCAGTGTATCAAACCTTTACTTAATATTACTGTGTTTCTTTAGGCTGAAATGTGAAATCTCAAGCTGTATATCTGATGATTAAAAAGAGAGATTCTGAATCCAAAAGCAATTAGACCACTGAGAAACTCATTTAGCATTAACTCTCCTTTTTAAAATTGAAAATAATTATACATATTCATGGGGTACATAGTGTTTCCATACACAGAATGCATAGTGATCGGATCAGGATAAATAGCATATTCAATATCTCAAACATTTATCATTTCTGTATATTTAAAATGTTCAATATTCTCCTTCTAGCTATTTGCAGCTATACATTATTGCTAACTATAGTAATCTACAGTGGTGTACAACACTAGAACTCATTCTTCCTATCTAGCTGTAATTTTGTACCCTTTAACAAACTCTTCCTAGCCTGTTCTTTGGTTTTGAAACTTATTTTCTACTTAATAAACAATGCTGAAGCAAAACCATTTTCTGAAGAATGAATCTAAAGTATGATGCTGGTTAGGTGTGGAGGCTCATACCTATAATCCTCATACTTTGGGAGGCCAAGGTGGGAGGATCACTTGAGACCAGGAGTTAGAGACCAGCCTGGGCAACATAATGAGACCCTGTCTTTAAAATAAAAATAAAAATAATAAAAAAAATAGCTGGGCATGGTGGCATGCACCTGTAGTCTCAGCTACTCAGGAGGCTGAGGTGAAAGGATCACTGGACCCTAGTAGTTCAATGCTGCAGTTAGCTAAGATTGCACCACTCTACTCCAGCCTGGGTGACAGAATGAGACTCTGTCTCTAAATAAATAAATAAATAAAGTATGATGCTTACATTTAAAAATAACATTGATAAATGTTGATTGTTACTTACATTTTCAAAATAGGCAAAAATACCCTGTTGGAGCCCCCAAATTCAAGAGACTCCAGCTGTGACAATCAGACACAGAAATTATAGTAATCAAAGAGAGATAATACATTTCCAGATGGTGCCCCAGGTGTATTTATCTTGCTATTCCCAATCAAGAAAGGAATTCAGGGTCAGGAGTATAACAAGAGCCTCAAACATCCTAAGCCTCTACCTTATAACACAAAGATGCACACGTATCTATGGATTACTAAACCAAAAGAAAACTTTCCTACTATCTCCACTTAGAAATCTTGAGTAACAGAACCTCACAATTCTGCTAAGTAGTAAGATAATTCATTTTAATGCCTTATAAGAACTACTCAGTTTAATATAATTTTTATCTCTCAGCCTCTTTATAAATAACTACCACAAACATCCCCTTGCAAAAGATGAAAACCTGTGACATAAAATTCATTAATAATTTTCACACATTACAGTAGCATTTTTTTTTTTTTGAGATGGAGTCTAGGTCTGTCACCTAGGCTGTAGTGCAGTGGCGTGATCTCAGCTCACTGCAACCTCCTCCTCCTGGGCTCAAGCGATTCTCCTGCCTCAGCCTCCTGAGTAGCTGGGATTACAGGCATGCACCACCATGCCCAGCTAATTTTTGTGTTTTTAGTAAAGATGGGGTTTTCGTCATGTTGGCCAGGCTGGTCTCGAACTCCTGATCTCAGATGATCTGCCTGCCTTGGCCTCCCAAAGTGCTAAAATTATAGGCATGAGTCACTGTGCCCAGCCAGCCTTTTGTATTAAACCAGTTCTATATCACTTCCCTGATAGACCTGCCAGTAGCACTATTTGAAAAAAAACCTAATTTGCAAAAATGCCAGTTTAGACCAATCACTCTCATTTACGTAATGCAAAGATGACTAAACACTCTATTCCATTAATCAGGATTGGATTTAAGTACTGAATCTCCTGTTACAAACATGAGGTGGTATTACATACTTTATGCTTTAGGAGATTATTTCCCCTGGACATCTTTTCTCTTCTTCCTCTTCCTCCCCTTCTCCACTTCCCCACTTTCCTCTCCCCACCCCTTCTTCCTCCTCCTTTAAACCTGTATCGATCATTTCTTGGCTGTTTGTTTATCCCTAAGCTACTTTCTATTCTTTGCTGAGTTTCAATTTCCTCATCTATAACATAGAAACAAACATGGAAGGGCTGTTGATAGGATGGAACATAATGTGTGTCAAGCACTTTGCAAAACACCTGACACACAGTCCTCAGTAAACGGTTATTACTGAGATGACTGACCTTACAAGATAATACTTAATTTTTTCAAGTTAAATGGGAAGATAGCTTTCTGTTGAAAATCTGTTTTTCTTTTTTAATTTTTTGAGACAGGGTCTCACTCTGTCTCTCTTGTCACCCAGGCTGGAGTGCAGTGGCATGACCACAGCTCACTGCAGCCACAACTTCCCAGGCTCACATGATTCTCTTGCCTTAGCTTCCCTCTGCTCCCTCCAGCATATCTGGGACTATAGGCATATAGTCTATAGTCCCAGATAGACTGTATCCACCATACCCAGCTACCACACCCAGCTAATTTTTTCTTTTTTTCTTTTTCTTTTCTTTTCTTTTTCTTCTTTTTTTTAGATACAGGGTCTCACTATGTTACCCAAGCTGTTCTCAAACTCCTGGGCTCAAGAAATCCTCTCATCTCAGACTCCCAAATCACTAGGATTACAGGCATGAGCCACCTTGCCCAGCCCTGTTCAAAACCGTCTAAGCACACAATGTTTCTTGCAGAATTTATTTTAGTTGTGGTACATTAAAGTCTAAATAAATATACTATTGAAATAAATTATAACACAATAGCATATACAAAACTGTATATTTGTTATACATTTCTATCTGGTCACCTGTATTGAATCACAAAATCATTTCTTACGAATTAATATGGCATGCTATTTTTGCTACATATATTTTCTAATTGGTCTTTATTTTAAACCTGAGAAACAATCAATTAATTATATATAAAATATTTTCTTTTCAATATAATGTATTTTTAAAATGTTAGGACTGAACTTCAGTTAATTAAATGTATCAATATTTGTCATTAGTTGTGACATACATAACACAAGACATTGCCGGTAGGGAAAACTGGGCATGGGGCATGGTATTTTCTTTGCAACTTTTCTGTAAATTTTAAATTACTCTAAAAGTTTTTTCAAAAAATTAGAACTAAATTTAATCCTATTAAACTTAATCCTACTAAGTTGCAAGAGGGAAGGTCTGTTATAGTGCCAGGAAGAATTTAGAATAGATTTTTAAAAGAAGTAATATGTTCCTATCTATTAAATCAAGTTTACTTTTTCTTACATGTTCTAGAAATTAGCTTGGCTTTTGTGCAGAGGCCATGGATTTTTAGATCATCAACATTCCATTCCATTTATAAATCTCATACATCCCATCATCTTAACTGAAAACTTAACCAGTCCTTTGTGCTTTTGCACAGATCCCACTCAGGAGTAAGGGAAAAAAACACAACCTACCCACCAAAAGGGGAATGAGTTTGTTTTACCATTGAAAATGCTCACCAAAGCCAGGTATTGAACATAATATGGAAGGCTCTGGGAGATTAAAAAGCTGCAGAAATAAATGTTATAAAAATCAGTGGTACCAAAGTTAAATTAACAATGCTTCCGTAGTGACAAAGTCAAAGTACGTCACTGTTGCAGAATTTACTAGAAGAAAACATAGTTCAATTAACATTTTGTAGACCATATGCAAATGAGTGATCAGGGAGAGGATACTTTTGGTTATTTATCAATAATATAAAATTATATGGAAGAACCATCCTGCTTTATTGAACATCTACCATAATTAAGCAATGAAAGATACAATAATGGATTAAGATATATAGTCCTTCCCCAGGCTATACAAATTATTGAGACAATCACATAAGGCTTGTAACATCAATTTGTTTATGATTATCTTGCCTAGGTTAAAAAAGAAATAACAACAACCGATTTAAGAAGGATCACAAAGGACAATATAATATTCCTTTATGAAAACCTTTTATGTCTTTTCTTACTTGATAAAAATTTCATGCATTAAAAAAGTGTTTGTTCCATAAAACAACATTTTTATTTTTATGATGCAAAGGAAGGCAATATATGAGCTAACTATGAAAAAAGTCTTGTTTGGTTGCTTTGGTTTGTGAGTTTCCCATTTGTGACAGTCATTAGGCAAAGAGACTCTGCAATCTGGAACTGATTCCAAGTCTCTAACGCACTAATAATGCCTTTTGACTTATGCATGAATAAGGAGACAGTCACCTCTAATGCAATCAGTTGTATGCATTATTTACTTCCTCAAGTGCATTAGTAAGGAATATGAGGAGCCAGGGAAAATCAATGGAGCCTGCTTGTTTTTCTGTCCCGTCGGTATCATTTCTTGTGTTATAGCAATGTATAAGGCATTTTCCCTGATGAAGTAATACATGCTGTGCTTTCCAATTCTTACTGTTTTGCAGAAGTCCCCCTTTATCTGCAAGGGATACTTTCTAATACCCTCAGTGGATGCCTGAAACTGAGTAGTACCAAGCCATATATATATGTATATCTGTGATAGTTTAATTTATAAATTAGGCATAGTAAGAGGTTAACAACTAATAATAAAAGAGAACCACTATAACCATATAATATAAGTTATGTGAATGTCGTCTCTTCTGTTCTCTTTTTCTCTCTCAAAATATCTTACTGCACTGTTGATACAACACAATGACATGGGTTGAGCCTGGGTAACTGAAACTATAGAAAGTGAAACCTTGGATAAGAGAGGACTACTGTATTCATTCCACTCTGTTCACACCTTCAGTTCATTGATCTGTCTAAAATACCATGCTGAAGACAAGACAGAGATTTTTATCTACCTGCTTGTCTACACGTCAGTTTAAGAAATCATTCCATTACTATGCTTTCTTTGTCAAATCTTTTTCATTTCAGCTGTTGTCTCTTCGAATAGGAACAAGTACTTGTTTTTCTTAAACCAAACATAGTTGTATCATGAAACCATTCTTATTTATCACTGAGTATTTTTATAGCTAAATCAACTAAGCCCAACATTTGCTCTTATTCTACTTGGCATTTAGCATTTAGGAAGACTCACTTTACCATTGATGACATCCCATGCATATTCACAGGTATAGAACGAGGAATTCATGTCTTCCCGGCAAGAACACTTCTATTGGGGCCATCCTGGGAATAGTGTAGATATAATGCAACTTATGGAAATAGGAATAAATAAATTAATTTTTTTTAACCAAGTATGGTCCTCATTTGATCACAAAGGTTTTCTATTTGAATAGCACATTTGTGACTTAATTTTTCTTGATTCCTGGTGAAGATTAGCTCTTTAACCACAAATTCACTAGGACATAGTATATATTGGTAAAAACTTCATTTAAATATTTATATACTTCTGACATAAAATCCCTTTCAATTATTCTCTCAACTTGAAAACATCCCACACAATTGAAAATGACTAAACTAATGTCACACTTAAATTTAATATCTGTGAATAACCAGGCACTGTGAAAATATAAATTCAAAAATTTGGTCTGTTGGTAATTTTTATTCAAAAGTTAGGGATGAAGACACAAGTTATTCCAAATAGGCCTACATCAAAACATATTATTTTCAGTACAAATGTACAGAAGATAAAGAATATTTTTGAAAGTACACAATAGAAACCTTGATTGGAAATTGAAAACTGCATATTGAATCCAATATTTCTATTGATTTTTACTTTTAAATTGAAGATAAGTCTCTGAGGCAGTGTTTCAGAAATATCTTGGTGCCAAAGCATCATTCAGGATCCTCATGTAAATCCATCCTCTCAGCCCCACCCACAGAGGTTCTGTTGTAGTAGTTGACACAGATGTAGCTAGATGAGAACCACACTCTGAGGCATGGTCTTAAGGTCATCATTCAGGTTCAACCCCAATACATTTTTCACATCTTGAGATGAAAACTAAAGTTTACTGTGCTAAGAGCTTTGTGGTACATTATCTTATTTAATCTTCACAAGGTGAAGAGTTATAGTACGTTCATCATCATCTTCCTGCTACACGAGGTTTCTAAGTGTCAAAGAATGTATATGACTAGCCCAAGATGACATAGCTAGTTGAATCCAGAACTGAAATTCCAGGAGTGTATGACAATAAAGCCCATACTCATAACTCCCTTATAAGCACTTTTCTCCTACTCTGGAATGGATAAAGCTTCAGCCTCTCTTTCTATCACTTAAGATTCATGAAGATGAGAGGCAGTAACTACCCAAAGGCAGTACTAATTATGAGTTTTTGTGTGTGGGTGGTGGGGGGGTGGTGGTGTATGCCGGTGCCCAGAACATTAACAAGGTCAGTGTCCATATTATAAGGATTCTTTCTGACTCACCTTCCCCATGGCTCCTTATGAGCTTAGTTATCTAACCCAGCAGCATTTCTTAATCTGCAATATTAGAGATATTACAGAGTTTCTTGCCCTAACTTAGCAGCTATAATAGTTAAAGACCACAATGAGAGGGAAAAGGGATAAGAGAAGAAAAAGAAGCTGGAAGAAAGAGAATAGAAGCATGACTATACGCATTTATATGTGTGTGGGATTGGGGGAGAAGCGGGTGGTATCATCTGATCAAGGAGAAAAAGAAGAGTCAAAAGAAAGCCGTCTGTCAAAGTGATAAATTAGACACATAGAAAGAAAACAGATTTAAATTCCATGAAAGTCAACATAACTGAACATTTATGGTTAATTAATGCTTTCTAGAAATATGTTTTCTTTATAATTTCAACATTTATTATAGATTAAAGGGAACATGTACAGGTTTGTTACATGGGTATATTGCGTGACACTGAGGTTTGGCTTACAAATGATCCTGTTGCCCAGGTAGTGACCATAGTACCCAACAGGCAGTTTTTCAGCCAATGATCCCCCTCCTGCCTTCCTCAGTCTGGTAGTTCCCAGTGTCTATCGTTGCCATCTTTATGTCTATGTGTATTCGATGTTTAGCTCCCACTTATAAGTGAGATCATGTAGCATTTGGTTTTCTGTTCTTGCATTAATGTGCTTAGGATAATGGCCTCCAGCTGCATCCATATTGCTGCAAGGAACATTTTCATGGCTATATAGTATTCTGTGATGTATATATAAGACATTTTCATTTCCAGTCCACCATTGATGAGCACCTAGGTTGGGTCCATGTCTTTGCTATCGTGACTAGTGCCTAGGAATACTTTGAGTGTAAAAAAAAGTATCATACCATGCAAAAAATCATTTTAAAATTTTATGAAAAATTATTTTTTGAAATATTTATGGAAATTATTTTTTCAAATTATTTGTGGAAGTTTATATCATATAGTATATACAATAAATAAGTTTTAAATTACATCTTTCAAATTTTATTATCAGAAAGCAACTTTACTTCTTATATCCTAGGAATGATAATCTGTTTACTACTAATAAACCAAACTTATTCATGTATGATAGGAATTATTCATATTTGGTATTATTAGAAAAAAACTTCTTTACTGTAAGGCTTGAGAGAGCCTAGAATATGTCCAGGGTTACAGTTTTTGAAATCTTTGCTTTCTTTCTTACTCACTTCTTCCTTCCCTCCCTTGTTCTCTCCCTCTATTCCTTACAGCTTACCTTCTTTCCTCTTTCTCGCCTTTCTTTTCTCTGTTCCCCCTTTCTTTTCTCCCTTCCTGCTTGAGAAAATGGGGTTTGGTTGAGGTGAGAGAAAGTTGTACCTGAAGATATAAAAACCAGGTTTGTTTAGAATCTGGTAACTTCAGATGTAGGGGGTATCAGAGAACAGCTAGTCCTGCTCATCCATCATACAGATGAAGAAATAGACACTCAGAGAAGCAAAAGTAACCCTTCCTCTTCCCCTACCTTCCAGCCAAGTCACCAAGTCAAGAAGTAGAATTAGTTTTTCTGGCTTTCTGTTTACTAAACTTTCCGATACACTTGATTTTGTCCTCAACATCTACCTTAACAGCTACCTGCCAACAGGAAGAAGGAACATACTTAGTGTTTCATTGGTGCTTCTTTCAGAATTAGGCTTCTGTTCTTTCAGTTTAGTGTGTAAAACCCGATAAAGCAGAGAAACTTCTGAAACTATGGCCTGGGAGATGATAGTTTTTGTGGCTTCCCAAATAACTAAGTTGACTTTCTGTGTTACAACACATTTAAAGCCATTTTTTCTCTTTAGTTTTATCTCTGTATTTTTTCTTCAATAAAGACAATTTCTAGTTGTCTTTTTCTTAAGTTTGGTTTCTCAAGTGAACTGAGCATCCCCAAGCAATAAAATTTCACTCTATTAAATAATGAAAAAATACAAAATGCCAAAAAATGTTTTAAAAATAGGAATGTGTTGTTGCAGGATTTTATTTTTGTGGACAGCTAATCAATCTGATTAGTGAGTTTTGAGTTGAAAATGTTATTACTATTTCTTACAGTGAAAGAGTCATCTTTCCTACTCAGCACTTGGAACTGGAGAGCCATAAAGCATAGAAAGAAAAACGTGACAACCCCCTTGTATTCCTGTAGCAAAAAAGTAATCCTAGGGACTTCAGAAAAACAAGTGAAAAAGAAAAGATTCATAACTTCAGTTTTTCTCCCTTACTATTCTCAACCAATCATGAACCTTAACAAACACCTTTGCTGCATAAAGAGCATGTTTAACAATAATGCTATCATCTTTGTATCTTTTTTCTTTTGAAATTTCAAGGAACTTTTACACTGCCCTTAACAGTTACAACAACCCACTTGAGGCAAGAATCTCTAGCCTTATATTAAAAAAAATTTTTTTGAGGCTTTACAGTGAAGTATTGTCAGAGCCTTGGTTTGAATATAGAACTCTTTACCATTCATGGATTTAACAAATGTTTGCTCATGGAGGACCCACTACATGTATCCAAGGACAGCCCTGGGCACCTAGCACACAGTGAGGAATGTAATATTGTACTTTTTTCCCCTTAAAATGCACATAGTCTAATAGAGGGAGAAACACAAGGAAACCAGTGATTACAGAACTAAATGAAAAATGCACCAGCTACTACTGGACCACAGAGGAAGAATCAAGATAGTGTCTCTTGGAAGTCTTCCTGGAAGAGATGATCATGAGAAAATCTTGAAAAATCATTGAGTAAATAAATGATTAGGGATTCATCAGGCAGAGAGGGCAGAGAGAAACTAAAACAACACCTCTTAGTGATATATATATACACACACACACACACACACACGATAAATATACATATATTTTTATATATACATATATGTATATATTATATATGTGTATATACGTATATATTATATATGTGTATATAATATATGTGTGTATATATTATATATGTACATATTATATATACATATATAATATATAAATATAACTAAGATAACCTAAGATATATGTATAATATATATACATATCATATATGCATATATAATATACATATATCACATACGCACATATATAATATATACACATATCACATACGCACATATAATATATACACATATCACATACGCACATATAATATATACACGTATCACATACGCACATATAATATATACACGTATCACATACGCACATATAATATATACACGTATCACATACGCACATATAATATATACACGTATCACATACGCACATATAATATGCACGTATCACATACGCATATATAATATGCACGTATCTAATACATACATATATTATATACACGTATCTAATACATACATATATTATATACACGTATCTAATACATACATATATTATATACACGTATCTAATACATACATATATTATATACACGTATCTAATACATACATATATTATATACACGTATCTAATACATACATATATTATATACACGTATCTAATATATACATATATTATATACACGTATCTAATATATACATATATTATATACACGTATCTAATATATACATATATTATATACACGTATATAATAATCACAACCAAGGAGTTTGTAATTTTGCTTGAAAACCACAGTGAGGCAAAATAAAGATTTTAAGAAGAAAGTGACATGGTTAGATTTCAATTCCACAAAGATCACTTTGGCTGCCTTTTCAGGAGAGAATGGAAAGAGGCAAGATTTGAAGCAAGGAACTTATTTTTAGGATGCTAATACAGTGATCTAGCTGATAAATGATACTGGTTAAAACTGTTTCTTTTCAGAGTACAGTTTATGTCACTCAACTATGTAATCAATTCTTTTCCAATTCACCTTAATTATGACAGTTCACACACAAAAAAGCATGAAAACCACCTATACTATTTTCCCATGGCCAAATAAAATGATTAAATAACTGGCCCCAGAAGTATTCATCGCACTGCTTTCTGTCACGGCAAAAGAATTAATATAAGGTTTTATTTACAGTCTAGTGAAGGGAGTTACAGCTTTTATCATTCATTATTGCTTCTCCTTCCTGTACCTCTTAAAAAGTATGTGAAATCCCAAGATAAAACAAGTTAGGGCTCAGCAAGAAGATTTTTGAATGAGTCAACAAAATTATCAACTTTAAACAAAGTTCAGATGCATTCAGGTACTAAATAATCTGGTATTATATGAGTTGCACAGGCCTTCCAAGAGAAAAGCCAGATGAAATTTTTAAAAAGCACTTAAATTAATCTTTACTGTCCTCATTATGTTATTTTGGATCCATAATTTTTTTGTTTTAGTTATGCAATCTTCCTCAATAGATTTAAGCTAGTGAGACTTGAAATTAGATGGAGTTAAACTGTATTTTCCAGTATCTATAGTCTGCCTGCTGACAGGAGCCAAACTGACAAGACTTAGATTTCTGCCAGTAAAAATACGGTAGAAGAAACTTCATGGTGAATAACTGATAAAATTTCTACCATGACAAAGTTTTTCAAGACACAGAAAAGATACTTGATTTCACAACAGCCTGGATTACATTAAACATTTCATACCAGCTTCTAATTGATGACTGCCATTGAATGAAAATTGTCATTTTATGTTGTTTCTTGTGAGCTAAGGTAGTATGGTCACATTAAATGGGGGAGAGTTGATTGATTACATAAAGCAATTTTCAGGACATTTTCTTAAATAAGAAGAAACTTATTTGTTTTTATGACTGTAATATTGGTAACTATGGTTATCTGGATTGAATGACATTGAGAATCATGATCTAGCTACTATATGTGAGAAGAAGCAGAGAGCTGCCTGAACTCACCTTTAATAAATAAATAGTATGTCCAGAAAAAGTTTGCTAGAAAAAAACACTACCAACTACCAAGAAATCCAAGGTATATCTCCCATTATTATCTAATCCAAGGTTTGGAATATCCTTTATACTTGCTAAATGTATACTAAATAGAAAGAAAATGAAATAGACATTATTAGAAACTTTTTGCTGTATAATTTTTGAGGGAAATTTAAGAAAACATTGTGGTGCTAGAGGGAGGCTAGTACTTATTCTGAATAATTTAAAGATTTTTCTAGTGTTTATATAATACATGTTTAGCATAATCACCATCTGAGATAAGACTGAAAGTATTTCTTTATTTTAAAGTAAGAATCACTGAGTCTGTAGGGTATATAGCTATCAAGATATTAAGTACTATTTACAAAGTCAGCCTAAGATGGGAAAAATGAAATCTGGCCAAATACTAAGAATGATTAGCTTATTCAAAAAACCATTATTTCTCCCCTGTTAATAAAAAGAAAATTGGTCCTCAAATACTTGCCAAGGGAAGAATAAAATGTATAATGACTAATTTAAAGGCTGGAGCCAAGGCACAATCTTAAAAAGTGAATCAAAGCTTTTACTATGGTTAGTCTTCTCCATAGAGATAAAAGAAAAGTACTTCAAATAAGCACATTGGATCTTTCATAATTAAATATGAAAAACAATTTCCATGATGTAGTCGAAAGAGTCTCACTCAATTATTAGTTTTTCAATGATAGAGGAGTCTCACTCAATTATTAGTTTTTCAAAGATAGCTCACATGTATCAATGCCATTCTCTCAAAATATCTAGGATATTTCTAAATTGAATCCTTCCATCTCAAAGCATTTAGTGAATATTTATCTGCCACAGCAAATAGAAAAATTCCTTCCTGTCCAATAACTCATTCATACAAACACATATACTGTATTCAATTAGATTAATAGCTTCATGCTTTTTCTTAAAATCTGTTTATGAACAAATTCTCAAAATTATACAACTTGACTAATAAATGAACTATTCTTATATATCAAATGGTTGTATTATATTGCCATTTCAGGATAATCATTAATGATCATCAAATAAAAGTTTTATTATAAAGCAAAAAATAAATTTTAGCGTTCTAGTGATGATTTTCCATAATTTTAATAACAGAGAAAAACTTTGAATTCCTTAACAAAGGATCCTTGTGCATCGATCAGAAGTGAGGTCCATATGTTTGAGGTCCATATAAATAGTCTTTGGAGCATGATATGTAGAGTTGTCAACGTGAAATGCATGTTGGTTGCAAGTTAAATACCCATTATGTGAGTATTTGCTTTTGTGATGACAAAAGTTATACCATTGCACACAGAACATATTTAAAAATTATGAAATTCAAGTTATAAGGGCCACTTATTAAAATGCACAGTTGTATATCATGGTACTATTTTTATATGCCTGAATTTGGACATGTATTTCTTAATAAAGGTTTAAGCATCCTCCTAGAGACTCATTAGTTGACCCCAACACATACTTTCCAATGAAAAACATATCTATTTAGGTTTGCATTGTCATTTAGGGTTGGAAAATAGTAACAAAATTTTGACATTGAACCAATGTCAGATTACTTGGCATGATCAATTTTGGTTTCATGTTTGAAACCATAGTTTTCCCATGAATTCTTGATATATGTGGCAAATATCTATCAGTACTTACACAGATTCCTATGCTACCTCACCTTCAGCTGCTTTGAGGAAGAATGGCCCATATCTTTCGTATAAGCCATGGAACCTATCTTTTAAGTAAGGCCATTCCAAATATGATCTACTAATTTGATGAGAATCTATCAAACTATCCAAAATTAGTATTATTTACATTAATAACAGGAAATCTAGAATAGTGGTAAGTTTGAAAACTAGCATTTTGTATCTCTAAGAGGTTTATTCCCAGGCATTTATGAAAATAAGGAAGATAAATAATGACCATAAGCACCATGGTCATCTCAGATAGTAAATACATATCTCAGAATAATCTCCTTTCGTCATTTGTACTAAAATTATATGGAGATTTCATAAAAAAAACTAATTTTAAAAAAGAAGACAGCAAAAGAAAAGACAAAGTATAGCATTAGCTCAAATCTTGTTTAGAAAATGACTTCCTTAATAAGATGATTTTTGTTTTCTTAACTAATCTAGACATGAAAATGTCTTTCTAACTACAATTGGGGCATGACAGGAATGTTGAAATAGTTAGAGATTAAGGAAAGGTCATAGTTTTACATGTTCACATTCAATAAGGTAACAAATGGATTTTATAAGTTTTAGGTTCCTGTAGTTCCTAGTAGAGACTTAGTATTAGAGATGATCATGGTATTCGTGTGCATTTGATGATACACAGGAAGGGAATTGAGTATTATTAAAGGTGACACAATTCTATTATGATCAGTAAACACTGTCTTGATTTCAAATAAGCCTGGCCACGGAATTCTGTGACTGATAATAAGTGAAGGATGAGTCTAGGCAAAAGCAATAACAAAAACAAAACCTCCCTTGCAAGGACACTTCCCCCATCCTAACTAATAGTTTATGGAAAGCTTCTCTTAGAGAGATTTGGTTAGGTTGCTATTGCCTTATCGGAAGGCTAAAAACTTGGCAGCTGCTCTCAAAAAAGTCAATAAGGCCACTTGACATAAACTGGCAAAACCTTAGTCTCATCACCCTAATCTTAAGACACTGAGCAGCTTCATAATCCAAATAGAGAACACCACGAGTTACTGACAATTCTTCAGGAAAACAAGGTCAGCTTAATTAGGTCACATGAAAATGTTAGAAGGAGAAATGCAGCATCTTTAAACAGGTAATCTGATTTTCAAAATAGCTGTCTAGTATAAGGACATTGTAATCTACCATTTTTTCCTTGAAGGCAACAATGCTTTCAAAATCAGGTAATAGAGATTAAATAATAAACCTATCGCAACTAGTAGCTAAGTCATTATTGTAAAACAAGAGATGCCATTGTAGACACATTGAGTGAATATTCTATATTAGTTTAGGCAGGGTGTCTAGTGGAGTCCAGAATGATGTTCTTCTTAACAAACATGGTATCCCCAAGGTCAGGAGATCGAGACCATCCCGGCTAACATGGTGAAATCCTGTCTCTACTAAAAATACAAAAAATTAGCTGGGCGTGGTGGCACGCACCTGTAATCCCAGCTACTTTGGGAGGCTGAGGCAGGAGAATCACTTGAACCTGGGAGGCAGAGGTTGCAGTGAGCCAAGATCATGCCACTGCATTCCAGCCTGGGTGACAGAGCAAGACTCTGTCTCAAAAAAAAAAAAAAAAAAAAAGAAAAGAAAAGAAAGAAAGGAAAGAAGGAAGGGAAGAAACTTGGTATCCCAAGGTCTGAAGGACAAAAAGAACCACCTATAACATGATTATTCTTGACTGAAGCCAATCAAATCTCTTAACCATATTCTTGAGTGAAACAGTGCTTCTTAAAGTAAAATTCACTAAGAAAGTTTTTTATCAGGTAAAATTAAAGTAAGCAGTGAACATTTTGGGAAGGTGTTATTTTAGGCTTTCACACACAAATACCTGAGATTCATACAAGATCTAACTAAGCCAACAAACTCTTGTAGTTTTATGTGAATCAAAGGACTGAGCCTCTGGAGATTTGTCTAAAACTGAACACCAAGTTTTGAAATTGTGTTAAAATCAGTCTAAGGCCAGTATACCCAAAAGAAAACTAAAGTTGATAACTCAAATGCCTCCATAAATATAAAAGAGAACACAAAAATGCTTTTGAAGTAGTTTATGAAATAGTAACACAATAGAAAGGAATCAGCTGATAATCTCAGGCACATAGTAGAGTGTTACGAAAACACTGAGCTAAAAGAGGATAAAATAAGAACAGTCAAAACTGAATCATTAATGATTTCTTATTAGACAGCATTTAAAACTTTTCTTTAAAATGGAGGCCTTGATAGCACACAACTTTTCTGGTCTGTGATATGCCAAAATACTACTAAAGAATAAAAAATAAGATAAATTTACCAAGTTTGGTACCAATCTACTATAATTAACACAGAAGATAATGTTTATCTATATTAGACAGATATAAGGACTTAGAAATAAATGAATCCAACTTATGTTTTTTAAAATGATGGGCTCAGATCAAGACATGGAGTCACTGTGTTCAAGTTTTTGGAGACGTAAGCCCTTTGTGCTGCTCTGAGTCAAAAAGGCCAGCAATATGCAGGTTATCATCAGGGGGACAATAGAGAAAATACTGCCCTAACCTTGCAGGGAGCTGTGGGGCATCAGCTTCTGGAACACTGTGTCTTTTTCCAGCCACTGTTCTTCCAGAGAACAATTTGTTCTTCCAAATTGTTCTTTCATAATTTAGGCAAAGCAGGTTATCAGGAAAGGCAAAACAGCCTATTTGTACGGATAACTATTAAGAAATCAATCTCTTATTTTTGGTCTGGGAAATTATAAAGCTTAAAAAAATGAATTAAGCCTTAATAATTAAGATGTGCATGAATATGGGGAACAATAATTCATTCACCAACTTTGAGGTGACAGCTTTTTGTCGTAATAGGGAAATAACTTGAAAGGAAGCTACAAAAGGTAACATTAATTGCACGTAGAACATACTTTGAAATTATAAAGTTTCTCAATTTAAGAGACAATACAATATGCATTGACCAGTTTAGGGGACCTATAGAAATTGGCAGATTACAGGTAACATAATAATAGATTGGTAAGAGAAGATGGGGCACATCTCAACCTTTTGAGATTGATTTTTTTAAAAGACCATTACTCGTCAAGTATAACTGGGAACTACTATTAAAATCTAATTGCTGTAAGGACTTGTGTCCAAACAAATTCAGTCATGAGATCATCTAGACAAGAATGAGAACTTTCAGTGTCCTATAAAATCAAATGTAATTCTTCTAATTGGCTATACTATATGTTCCATAAGGACAGCCTCTTATTTACTACTGTATCCAAAAATTTTGGCAAATATTAGGTTGAAACATATAAATTTGCTGACGTTCAACCACACTTGAACTATAAAACTTGTTGAATTTTGCATGATTCAACCCACAAGTCAAAGTTATTTTACTATTTTTAATATATTAAATAAATAAATGACTTAATCTAGATGTTTTGACTGATATATTTTATAGGATCAATGAAAGTTCTTACTGATAGGGAAACATCCTTGCAGATGTGAATATTCTCAAAAGCTCAGCTGCCCTGCTTTGACCTAGCTGAACACTTTCAAGTTTGAAGACTTCCAAATTTATAAAAGTCATTTATTCCATGTCTGTATGTATATATTAGGGTGAATATAAAACCTGTCTGTGATGAGGCTCTTGTTTTCAGGGTGGTTACTGCCCCACTGGTAGAGGCCAACACCTACATATCTATAATAAGCAATGCTATTGGTCACAAAGTCTTGCACCCATAGGAGGTTCAACTAGAACTGCTCAGTTTGGGTTTTAATAAGATTCAATAATAATTCAACTTTCATGGAAAAGGCAGAACTTAACCTTGTCTTCATCTATGAGTAAAATTTGCAGGCAAAGTATAAAGTGGAGGCATTTTTTGATATAAGTTTGAGGGAAGAAGAAGCAAATGTGTGGGGATGCCCATGAAGCCTTTCTAGCCATAAGAGAAGTTCTGTCTTGGAGAGTCACAGATAAAACTGTGGATAAGTAGGATGAGATTTCTGTGCAAGGGGCTGAATTCTAGGTTTAGAATATAAAATTTATTCATTATGCATAAAAATCTTCAGAGGTTTATGAGAAGGAAGTACGTAGAAAACCATTAAAGTTTTTAAGTAGAAGGTGAACTGAATTTAAAGATTAGTTCAAATTATCAAAGACTATACTTGCTAAAATAAACTATTTGTAGCATATACAGGCTTGTCTCAGTTTAAATAAAGACCAATTACATTTTCAAACCAGTATTTCAAGCAAGTTTACAGGACACACACACATATTTAGAATTAAAAGTATTACGTACAAGAGGATAAACCGTTTTCTGGTAAGAATTAATACAAATTAGTGTAGTTTTTAACTATCATTTTTGAACTGAAAAAGACAATTGCAACAGCTATTAGTCCATTTTCAGACTAAACCTCTATGACGACTACTTAGTCACTCAGAAAAAAAATTAAAGAAGTATTTTGTGTGCTTATATTTACCGCATACACACATATAACAATGTTTATACCAGATTCTACATTTTGATGGAACTTATGCCACTGTTGTCAATATCATGTCTTGCAGAAATTGCATAAGCATAATTATACTTTAAAATAAACTCATGAATTATCTGGCTAGAAACACAAATAGCAATTGTGAAATATATTGGTGAATGTTTGAAGCAAAAAAAAAAAAATACCTGTAGATCAGAAAGCACAAAACAGAATAATTTAACCACTGAGTTACTAAGCGATATGCATAACCTTCATTAAGTAACTTCTATTAAGATAAATGGGAGCCATGCAGCTAAAGCTAGTTCAGAGAAAAAAAGAGAAGGAGAGAAACAGGGGGTGCTGGGTGGGGGTGTAGGGGGAAGGGACTCTCATATTGAAATCTTCTGGTGACTTGGGAGGTCAAAAATCATTATGAAGTCATTCTTTCTTGTAACTATCCATTGATTTCCTATTGCTAGCGTGGACTATATATGTTTGTAATATTTTAAGAATACAGTAAAAGCTAGCTATAAAGAAACTCATTTGTACATACACTGGGGAAATGACAAGCCTAATCACAATTCCTTTAATATAATTTTCTATGATGGAACTTGTTATACAGATATTTATTCTGGCAACAACATAATAAAAGGATTCAAACGAATTACTTTGCTGCTGTTCTTCTGTGTAAGTTATTTTTAAGCTTGTTGTCCCTACTTCTCTAAGAGATAGAAATTGTCTACATATTCTGATTAAGTGTATGCCCCAGGAAGGGATGCTTTCCATCCACCAAGGAAAACGTGCTCTATAGGAAAAGAGCTGGTTATTAACAAAGCAGTGAAGAGCACTCACACAGTTGCCAGTAAGTCACAAATTCCCATGAGGACAAATTCATTACTAATACCAGGCCAAGGTATAGTAACACATGGCATAACTGCACTAGAGAATAAAAGAAACTCCTTTCAAATGTAGGTAGAGTTTAGTTTGAAGAAAATTGTTGAATTTGATCTTTATATATGAGGGCTGATTGCAGGCATTGGGGGAAGGGGAGGATGACATTTATTTTTCGAGTAGATTGTCTACAATTTTTTTATTAGGTTTGAATGATGCACATATTAAGTGTATTATGACCCTTATAACCCATTATTGACATACAAGGGCAGATAGCAAATAAATATGAGTCACATCTGGCAACAGAAAATACACAGAAATAAATACTGTATCACTGGGCTGGAAAGTGCAAATTAAAGGGAAATTAAAAATAAAAAAAAAAACCTCATTGTGGTTTTGATTTGCATTTCTCTGATGGCCAGTGATGATGAGCATTTTTTCATGTTGTCTGTTGGCTGCATAAATGTCTTCTTTTGAGAAGTGTCTGTTCATATCCTTTGCCCAATTTTTGATGGGGCTGTTTGATTTTTTTCTTGTAAATTTGTTTATGTTCTTGGTAGATTCTGGATATTAGCCCTTTGTCAGATGAGTAGATTGTAAAAATTTTCTCCCATCAGTTAGAATGGCGATCATTAAAATGTCAGGAAACAACAGGTGCTGGAGAGGATGTGGAGAAATAGGAACACTTTTACACTGTTGGTGGGACTGTAAACTAGTTCAACAATTGTGGAAGACAGTGTGGCAATTCCTGAAGGATCTAGAACTAGAAATACCATTTGACCCAGCCATCCCATTACTGGGTATATACCCAAAGGATTATAAATCATGCTGCTATAAAGACACATGCACACGTATGTTTACTGTGGCACTATTCACAATAGCAAAGACTTGGAACCAACCCAAATGTCCATCAATGATAGACTGGATTAAGAAAATGTGGCACATATACACCATGGAATACTATGCAGCCATAAAAAAGGATTAGTTCATGTCCTTTGTAGGGACGTGGATGAAGCTGGAAACCATCAATCTCAGCAAACTATCGCAAGGACAGAAAACCAAACACCGCATGTTCTCACTCATAGGTGTGAATTGATCAATGCAAACACTTGGACACAGGGTGGGGAACATCACACACTGGGGCCTGTTTTGGGGTGGTGGGGGAGGGGGGAGGGATAGCATTAGGAGAAAAACCTAATGTAAATGTCAGGTTAATGGATGCAGCACACCAACATGGCACATGTATACATATGTAACAAACCTGCACATTGTTCACATGTACCCTAGAACTTAAAGTATAATTTAAAAAAAACCAAAATGTTGATTTTATCCATGTATTTTACAGATGTTTCCATTGTGTGACATGAAGAACATGTGGCTAGATTGTCACCATTCATAACCCAGAATAATTGTTTACATAGGCTGCCAGAGAATGAATTGGAAAGGGTATCCATACTTACAAATTATATAAGGAGAGTTTTCCAAATCCCTGTTAAGTCTCTTCCTGTCTGAACTAAAGCTTCCTTATTCTGTCAGCTTTGATTTGAAGGACAATCTCTATGACCATCTCTATGTTAGGGGCTTTGTTCACATTTTTGCTTTGTTTCTGCCCCTGTTCACCCATGGCAGTAAGAAGTGGCTTTATAGCCTGAGGATAACCTTTCTGTATGGTTCACACCTAGTCTTCACAGCAGAGCAGGTGTTCACAATCACTGAGACCTCAAATGGTAAAGGTTTGAATTAACAGGCTGCACATTCTGCACAACTGGTGGCTGCTGCTTTTAGCTTTGCTGCCATCTGCAAAACTTTTAGTAATATCTGTAGAAGCTTTATCTTTCAGGTATGTAGTGGAGGAAAAACACTGAGCCCCACTACTCTCTCTACTCATAGGGTTACCTGCATGTGGATGCTATACTTCTTTTGTAGCCTGTGATTATAGTTTTCAAACATCACCCTCACACTGTTGAATACTAAACCTGTGTCAATTAATATGCTGTTAACCAGACATTTCTATGGTGTTTATACAAATTATTTTAATCACTGACAAAAACAAGGAGGTTTCATTTATTGAATTTACCTCATCAGTCCTACCTTTCAAGAATTTAAAACTCTTTATTGTTTTATAGATGATATCATGAATTACTGTAATGTTTAGACATTATTCAATTTGACAAGCACATTATATCCTCAGTTACATTATTGGTAATGTTAGATGGGACAGGGCCAAGTTCAAAACTCTATTGCATAACCCTACAAGACAGCTTTCCAACTGCACTGGGGTTGATGTTGACCCCAAAGGGGCCCGCACAGTGTAGTAATACATATCTGACTCAGGAATTAAGAAACATAGTTTTGAATGCCAGGTGCGCCACTCCTGTTTATGGGTTTGACATCAACTAAAACACTCAATGTCCCCCACGTTCCTATGTTGTCATTTATGACCAAAGGAAGAATCAAAACGTTAATGTTTGCAGTGTCATAGGCAATTGTGTAATCTAATCTTTTATTATAGACGTGGTAAGAGGTCCAGATAGGCTACATAACTTGCCTAAGGCCACACAGAAAGAGAAGGCCGTCTTCAGATGGCTAGCCTGGTGCTCTCTCTCCTTTCTATTTCCCACTGTGGTAAATTAGAAAAATTATAGGACACAAAATGGTTTCCAGCCAGACTGCTTCAATAATAGTTTGCAGACTATCATGCGAAACACAAGCCCGGAAACAAACTTACCATAAAAAAAATTATGAACCAGAGCTCCAGCCTCAGTTGAGCATTGGCACTGGCCCCAGCATGGAGTTAAAAACAAAGATTTCATTTCCTTATTATTATTGTTGTTTTAAATCAAAGAACATAGAAGAAAGATTACAGTTTGTCAGTTACTTGTAATGGTTGGGAACAGGAGATATACCCCAGCATTCCTACTCATTACCTGGGCACTAAATCTCTCCAAGCCTCAGTGTCCCCATTTAAAAACAAGGGTAATAGTAATCTCCATCATAAGATTATTAGTGGGATAAAATTGGTGGATGCACGTAAAGTACTTAATGCAGGACTTACAAGACACGGAACGTTTCAGGCATGTTAGTTGCTGTTATGTTTTTTCTGGTGCAGACCCTCCAAATTCTCTCTCTCTATTCCTTCTCCTATTCAGTCTACTCCAAGAGCATTTTTCTGGAAAGAGTTTGGGGTAATTCATATAATGGCTTAGTGGGGAAAATGCTCTGTGCTTATATGGAAACATGATTCTCTCGGTAGGTCAGATCTCACAAATCAAGGGTTTCTAAAGAAAATTTAATCTCATCTGTCATCTAATCCCATCCTGTAGTTACTAATGAAGAGCCTGGGGACTGGGGTCAAGAGCCTGGAGTGTCTCTGGTGGTTCAGAACAAATCAAAGCCACAAGAAGTTTGGCAAGATATCTTTACCATGAAAAGAATTATTCAAACCTGTTATGCTGCTAAAAATTAATAAGTTCTATCTTACATTTTACATTTATAAGGCACATTATTTTAAAAAGATTTTAAAATACTAGTTAAAGTAAATTGGAGGTGAACCTAGGTATCAGTTAAATGATATTTCTGAGCAAAATATTTGAAGACTAATCTATTCTACAAAAAAATAGTTTGTTTTTTTTTCTGAAAATAAAACTTCATTATCTTTCCTTTTAAGCAATTGGAATGGATACTATAGAAACCATGAGTGATCAATATAAGTAATATTGAGCAATATAATGCAATATCAAAATCTTAAACTAAGTGATAAACTTCACTGATTTTATTTGACCATTACCCATTTTCTTTATTGCTTTTCCTATGCTTTTAATGCAGTTTATTTTAAACCTCTGAATTGTAATCACAGCTTTATTTGGTAAGAAAGCTCAAAAGAATAGCATAGCAATTGAATATCGATCCATGAACATGGGATCCAAGAAATAGTTTACTCATCTATCTGTTTACTTTAGTCCTCTAACACAGGGGTCCCTAACCCCTGAACCAAGGACCTGTACAGGTCTGTGGCCTGTTAGGAACTGGACTGCACAGCAGGAGATGAGTGGAAGATGAGTGAGCGTTAACACCTGAGCTCTGCCTCCTGTCAGATCAGCAGTGGCATGGGATTCTTATAGGAGCGCGAACCCTGTTGTGAACTGTGCATGTGAGGGATCTAGGTAGCATGTTCCTTATGAGACCAACTAATGCCTGATGATCTGAGGTGGAACAACTTCATCCTGAAGCCATCCCCCACCCCAACCCTGCTCTGTGGAAAAATTGTCTTCCATGAAACTGGTCCCTGGTCCCAAAAAGGTTGGGGACTGCTGCTTTAACATAAAAACCTCCACACAAAAACTACTATACTGGGCCGGATGTGGTGGCTCACGCCTGTAATCCCAGCACTTTGGGAGGCCCAGGTGGATGGATCATGAGGTCAGGAGTTCGAGACCAGCCTGATCAACATGGTGAAACCCCGTCTCTTCTAAAAGTATAACAATTAGCCAGGAGTGGTGGCACGCACCTGTAATCCCAGCTACTCAGGAGGCTGTGGCAGGAGAATTGCTTGAACTGGGAGGAGGAGATAGCAGTGAGCCGAGATAATGCCACTGCACTCCAGCCTGGGTGACAGAGCAAGACTCCGTCTCAAAAACAAACAAACAAAAAACAAAAAAACTACTATACTGGAAAGATGAAAAGGAAATAAGTGTAGGTTCAAACAATAGTCATGATTACTTAAAAGTATAAAATAAAAGCTCAAATATTCTAAATGTGAAATTTCCCTGACATACATAGCACACATTGAATGTGTATGTATATGAATAGATCTGTAATTATATGTATATTATTTATCTATTATCTATCTAATTTATTGAAACAAATAAGCAATTAGGTATCTTTAGATCATACCTAAAGATACGATGTCATCACACACTGGTTGTCACTACTACTTTGACATTTACCATTGTGCCAGATAGAATTATTCTTACTCAATATCCTGAAACTTTTCAGTTGACTTGGTTGAGATGCTAATAGTCTACATTGATGTGAATGTAAATGCTTTATAATAACATAAAAGAGAATAGTTGTAACAGAATATATTCCTGCTCAGAGGTTACATATTTTAAAACTAATGAGATCATACCCTAAAATTTTAGACAAATCATTAGCTTCTAGACACATTTTGTGTAACATGATTATAGCTTACTTCCAGAGTATCCAGCAATATGTCCAATTTGTATGTACCATGGTATCTCAGCCTGACATTTTTAACAAATGCCTACAGTTATAGCAGAGAAAAATTCTTGGTTAGTACTCTTGAGCCAGGTGGCAAAAACATCAGGTAACTGAGAAGACACACACTTATCTCTTGAGCTAATAAGAAACATATTTTCAATAAAAATCGACTTGACAGAAATAAAGCAATTTTAGTGAAGGCAAAAGAAGACATTGTTAGAAATAACAAAATATTTAAAAATCTTTTTTACATGCCTAAAATAATTCCCATTGATTTTTGCTAAAATTGTGTAAACATGTCAGAAATGAAACTATTAAGATTTCAGGTAATCAACAAACTAGTCAAAAATTACTTGGTTGGATACATTTGAAGTAGGACAAAAAATTCATTTCATCCTTCTAAACTGTGACATTTTGACCCTATCTCCTCTGGTGGAAGATTTTTCCTTCTGCTTTCTTCTCACCATCAATATATTAAATATAATCAGTGTCATACAGCAAGGCATAAAGTCCTTAAAAGGAATTCATTCGTGCACTTAATAATTTGGTTTGAATATCAGGGATGTGTGAATGTTTTAGAAGTCGGTCAAGTCTTGAGAAAATCATTCAGGTCAGCCTATAGCTCCAAATGCTTCCCAGAGATGTATCAGTGTTTTGCACTAACTGAGAAAAGATGAAATCCCTATTTGGGAGACAATTTTGCTTCATGCCCAATCTTTGTACATTGTTTTAAGAATATAGGGATAACTTACATATCTTGTTATTTCTTGCAATTGCTTTTTGTTAAGATGGTGAGCATGTTATTTTTGGGTAGACTCTTTCACCTTTCCTTTAGTTTCATGTATGGATCCAGTTACATTTACTCTGGGGAGTATAATTATGAATCCATCACTTTTTTACAATGAAACAAATAAATGAAATTAAATCCTAACAATGAATTTAGCAAATCTCTATACTGTGAATACTGTTTATGTTAAAGAACATAAACAAAAAGGCAAAATCATTTGAAGTTACTCAATGCACAATTATTTTTCAGATTCAATTATGCTGTATAAAAGCAACCCAAGACAGATAAAATTAATTTCCTCTATTACATAACACCAAATCAATTTGCAACACCTAGCTTTTCAAGTTGAATGAAATAAAAGTACCTTTGCTTCCATTTATATGTGTAAATACACATATATAAAATCTATTTGATGGAGTGGTTATGGAAAAAAAACACAATTACTGAAGTAGATAAATGTTATTGTAAGAGGCCTAAGTAAAAACAAAAAATGATATGTGCAGACATTTCTATAATACCAGCAGTCTAAGATAAGAGGAGATAAAAACTGAACTGTGTTTTTAATTTGGAAATTATTTAATGGCTGGAAAAGTTCAGGACAACCAATTATTTTCTTCTTCTCTTTTATGTGACCATTAACTGAAGCATAGATACCATAGAAAACTATTAAAGGGATTTGTTTTTTTTTTTTTCATTGTTAGGGTTTCCAAATGATAACTATGTGTAGGGTTAACATTATGCCACAGTCAGGTATGGTAGAATTTTCAGACATTCATCATCTTTTTTGTCCTCTATAACAGCCCGTTAATTTAAAAATCAAACTGGTTCTCTATTACTTTTGTATGTGTGTCCAGATGAAAAAGAATATCATGAATATATAATGTGCTGAACATCATTATATATTATATAATATATAATACATTATTATATATCATATATCATATATTATATGTATATGTATATATATGATATGTATAATAATGTATATCATATATTATACATCATATATCATAATATACATAATGTTCATCACATTATATATTAATAATTTTCAGCGAATTGCATTACATAAGCTGCAAATATTTGGGAGGAGTATCTTTTGTACTGAACATCAAAAATAATAAAATGCTACTTCTTTGTCTTCAATTGTTGAAATTATGCACATGATTAAGCTACACGGACAAACACATTATTGTTTGAACAGTTGCTACTAAGATCATGAGAGAAATGGTGCAGTGTAGTACAGGGAAATGGGCCTTGGACTAGGGAAGGCCTGAATTTCAGTCCTAGCTTTGACACTTACTCAATGTTTACTAGTAGATACATAATTTAACCTGTCTGATATTGAGTTATCTCATTTGGAAAATGAAGACATTAAAGCAGAATATTTTTATACATTTGTCTAGCTTAAAGCTAAGATTAATTTATCTTTGGATGTGAGACACTCATGGAGCTTTCATATAAATCAGTAGTTCTCAAAGTGTACTGTTCTTGTTTGTTACCCGAAGAGATTTAAATATTACCTGTCCCTAGAAGCAGGCCCTGAACAATTAAAGAATACTCCCCATGGGTGGAGATAAGGCACTGGCATGTTTTAAAAGCTCCCCGAGTAATTTTTTTTTTTTTTTTTTTTTGAGACAGACTCTTGCTCTGTCACATAGGCTAGAGTACAGCGGTGCAATCTTGGCTCACTGCAACCTCTGCCTCCTGGGTTCAAGTGATTCTCCTGCCTCAGCCTCCAGAGTAGCTGGGATACAGGTGCATGCCACCACGCCTAGCTAATTTTTGTATTTTTAGCAGAGACGGGTTTCACCATGTTGTCAGGCTGGTCTCCAACTCCTGATCTTGTGATCCGCCTGCCTTGGCCTCCCAAAATGCTGGGATTACAGGCGTGAGCCACCACGCCTGGCCTCTCTGAGTAATTTAAATATACAACCAGGATAAAGTGATCTGTCTTTAGAGCCCATTCTTAAAAATAGCAACACTCCCAACAGAGGCAGTATGATAGGTATGTAAGTTAAGAACTTCATTTTCTCATTTCTGGGCATTCACTTTCTCATTCATTTACTAAAAATTTATTATTCACCTATTAGATGCTATGCAAGACATTAGGTACAAAGGATACAAACATGAAAAAGTAAACAAATCACAATTCTTGCCATCATGAAACTTATTTCAGCACATTAAAAAAATTTTAATTATAAAAAATTCTTATGATCATTACATAGGTAGCAGCCTGTCAGAACCCATTTTGCACATCTAGCTGCTATTGGCTTTAAAACTTACTATGCAGGAAGAGTGGACCTGGACATCTACCTTTTACCATAAACAAAAGTCAATTCAAGATGGATTACAGATTTTAATGTAAGAACTCAAACTATAAAAATCCTAGAAGAAAACATAGGAAGTACAATTGGAAATCATCATTCTCAGTAAACTATCGCAAGGACAAAAAACCAAACACCGCATGTTCTCACTCATAGATGGGAATTGAACAATGAGAACACATGGACACAGGAAGGGGAACATCACATTCTGGGGACTGTTGCAGGGTGGGGGGAGGGGTGAGGGATAGCGTTAGGAGATATACCTAATGCTAAATGACGAGTTAATGGGTGCAGCACACCAGCATGGCACATGTATACATATGTAACTAACCTGCACATTGTGCACATGTACCCTAAAACTTAAAGTATAATAATAATAATAAAAAAAAAGAAAACATAGGAAGTACCATTCTGGACATCAGCCTTGGCAAATAATTTATGACAAAATCCTCAAAAGCAATTGCAACAAAAACAAAAATTGGCAAGTGGAACCTAAATAAACTAAAGAGCTTCTGCACAGCAAAAGAAACTATCAACAGAGTAAAGAGACAACCTACAGAATGGGAAAATATATTTGCAAACCATGCCTCAAACAAAGCTCTAATATCCAGAAGCTATAAAGAACTTAATTCAGCAAGCAAAAAACAACCCATTAAAAAGCAGGCAAAGGTCATGAAGAGACACTTCTCAAAATAAGACATACAAATGGCTAACAAACATAAAAAAACATTCAGTATCAATAATCATCATGGAAATGTAAGTCAAAAATTTTTAATACAGAAAGAGCCCTAGGATGAGTGTCCTTTCCCAGCACTGCTGTTAGCTGATGTGTGACTCTGGGCAGATCACTTAACTTCATCAACTTCTGTTTTGTACTTCTTTTTATGATTCTTTCCACACAAAACAATCACTTTGTCGCATTAGTATCATACCCCCTATGACCTGGACAAATCGGAAATACAGTTTCAATCTCTTTCTCCTTCTCTTTAATTTATCAAAAGCATTGATTTTAGGCCGGATGCAATGGCTCATGCCTGTAATCACAGGGCTTTGGGAAGCTGAGGCGGGTGGATCACCTGAGGTCAGGAGGTCAGGACCAGCCTGACCAATATGGTGAAACCCCCTCTCTACTAAAAATACAAAACTTAACTGGGCATGGTGTCATGAGACTGTAGTCCCAGCTACTCAGGAGGCTGAGACAGGAGAATTGCTTGAACCGGGAGGCGGAGTTGCAGTGAGCTGATATCGTGCCATTTCACTCCAGCCTGGGCAACAGCGTGAGACTCCGTTTAAAAAAAAAAAAAAAAAATCATTGATTTCAAAACCCTTTCTTTTTAATCTTTAAAAAATTATATATTTTTGTGTTTTATTCTTCCTCTCTCTTTTTAATTTTCTTGATTGTTGCCTTCTCATTTAAGCTACTACATTTGAAATATTAACTAATTGCTGATAGCCAAGAAAAAGATAAAAGATAAAACGACTTTCTTATAACAAAAATTGATTTATTCAGCTGCTTCAAAACTTGTTTGATGTGAATCAGATCATAAGACACAAAACACTTTAAATTGGGTTTCTTCTTTACTTCCTGTCTTCTTTTTTAAAAAAGTCTCACTTAAGTTCTGATTGGTGCAGTTTGCTTGGTAAAATATAAAGATCCTGACACATTTGATCATTTAATGTCATTTTTGTTATATTCTACCTTGGCAATTTTTATGACTAGGAAACAGAGATAATACTGCATAGGGAGAAGAAGGGGAAAATAGATGCTGAATTGTAATATATTAACATTTCCTGTGCTGAATTCCACTTTTATTTTGAGAACACACCACATAATATTACCTATCCATAAAAGACCAATTGTATCAGTATACTGACTTACCATTGAGAAGTGAGTTTAAACTTTGTTTAAATAAAATAGATTGACTATACACACCACACTCAAGTCTCAAAGGCATACTTCCAAAGTACCCCTATCCTTTCCCAAAAAACTTCTATTTTTCTGTGATAATTCATATTCATAAAGGGTACATCAATTATTTTTTAAAATATTGACAAAAACCAGATAACTACTTTTTTTGCTTGTTGGTTGGCATGATATTGATTTACAGAGATCTATGTATAATAAAGTGAGCAATATACCATTCAAACCAAGTTTTATTCTGAAGGGGTAAATATATTAAATCAAGAAAAACCTGTAATATATTTCACCAATCCTCCTAGATAAAATTAGTTATTCACTTCTTCACTACTTATTTTTAAAATAAATACATTTTTTCTTGTCATTCTTGGCTATTTTATCACACAATAGCAACCATGAACCATGATCTGGGCAGAACTGCCTTTCTTTCTTTCTTTTTTTTTTTTTTTTGAGACAGAGTCTCGCTCTGTTGCCCAGGCTGGAGTGCAGTGGCGTGATCTCGGCTCACTGCAAGCTCTGCCTCCTGGGTTCACGCCATTCTCCTGTCTCAGCTCCCGAGTAGCTGGGACTACAGGAGCCCGCCACCTCGCCCGGCTAATGTTTTGTATTTTTAGGAGAGACGAGGTTTCACCATGTTAGCCAGGATGGTCTCGATCTCCTGACCTCATGATCCGCCTGCCTCAGCCTCCCAAAGTGCTGGGATTACAGGTGTGAGCCACCGCGCCCAGCCCAGAGCCGCCTTTCATTTTCATTTTCTCCTTGTTGAATATTGGCAATTTCTCATTATGCAAAATATCTTTTGCATTTAATAGACAAGCAATTAGTCATGAAATTGAGTTTGTAAGTTTATTGATTGTATATTTTAATAACCAGAAACATCACTTTGTTCATATACATTAATGAACAAATACACCTGCACAATTACAACTTTAATTGGGTATTGGAAATCCCTTTTAATAATCCCCTTCTCAGTCTTATTCATAAGGGATTTTATGAGCCTACTAGGATTGTAGACTTCTGCCTTCTCTTTTCTTTCTTTGGCCCAAATCCTATTTCCTTGATCTTCCTAAGCATAAATTTTACCCAACTTTGGATTATATGGAAGATCATCCGAGTTTGAATCATGCTTTTCCTTTCCCGTAGCTTTGTGACTTTGGACAAATCATTTCCCATCTCTTGCCCTTAGTTCTCTCATCTGTGAAATATCACGGTTAAGCTAGATAAAATTGGCAATTCTTGTAACCTTCCGATTCTAAGACAGAACAACTTTTCTAAGACTGTTTTCCAGCAATAATTTACAGGTTTTCACCCACAACTGGAAGCTCTCCTGGTGAAAAATTGTAAAGTTCCAATTAAAAGTAAATTAAGAGTTTTCAGCTTTGCTTTAAAGATACATGGATACCCTTGGCTCCAGAATATATAATAAATGATTTTATAAAATATTCAGTTTGTTTGAGGAAGTGGTAAATGTTTGAAAACTGGCTTTTTTTTTTTTTTTTAAAGCTTTTAGTTGAATTGTTCGCTGATTTCTGTGACATAAATACTCCCACCATGGCTAATTTCAAGCTGTCAGCACAATGTCACTGAAAACTGAACACGAAATTAAGTTGATATCAGGTGCAGAATTGGTAAACTGTTACAAGCAAGTTCAGGCCATCACTGAAGACAATCAATGCTTGAGGGTCAGGGACTTAGTTCCAGTACTACCTCTAGTTTTATGTGAGATTTTAGGCAAATTATCTGATCTTTTCAGACTCTTGCTTCATCTACCAAATAGAGGAAAGCAGTTGTTCTATCTTCTGTGGCTATAACAGATGTAAAAGAATTGTGAAAAAGTTAAATTCCTTGCCAAATGCAAAACTACTATTACTTTTATTGAAAGGAAAAATCCATATTTGATAAATGCATTTAAAAATAACTTTTAATAAACTAAAGTTTCAATTGTACTGATTAACTTTCCATTGCAAGAAATAGAAATCCACTGAGGCTAACTCAAGTAAATTCAACAGAAGAAAATTAGTCATTTCTGTGTCATTTGAGAACATGAAAGCCTCACAGGTTGAGGTCAGTCATATTTTCTCGGAACTGTCAGGTTCTCCATCTTTGGCTTTCCTCAGTCTTTTCTTTCTATGCTCATACATTAGGTCATTGCTAATAAATAGGTTTCTTGCCCCCAAGCTATCCTGCTCATCAATACCCAATCATGGACTCTCAAATTTGAAAAAAAGAGAGAGGATAAAGAAAGGGAGAAGGGGAGAGGGGAAAGAGGGAGAAGGAGAGAGAGATATTGATTTAGGTGGTTGTCCACTTAATAAAGTCAATAAATTTGGGAAAAGTGTATATCCCTGACTCAAACAGGAATGGCCAGGGATAAGATCCTCAGGGGTCAAAGAGCTGCCTTATGTGGTTATAGCAACCACAGAAATAACATTGACCAACTACTGGATGCTACTTCTGTGAAGCCACTGGTGTTTTTGTGAAGTCAAGAGCTGTTTGTCAGTAATGAGAAATCCAGAGAAAAACTTAATTAGCACTAGCTTTTCCTGGTGGCCATATAATGTCCCTTGAGATTCAGCTGAGGCATGACTGCTGATTTAAAAACTCACTAAGATATTAAAATAATGTAAAATGATACAGTAAAATAATGTAAATTCACTTGGAAATCACATCAGGAGTTGGAATGAAAGGGAATCACGCTTTCATGAAGTCCCATACTTCAGGGAAGTCAAATGATATAGCTGAAACAGACCGGAAAATTGTATATGGAGTATTTTCACAAGAGTCAGGGATGTGAGAAGCTGCAGATTCATAACAAGTAGTGTCACCTGAAATAATAGTATCTTTATGTCTCAAGCCTTGTTAGCACTTTATAAACCACAACCCACTGAAACAATAGTCGCCTATAGATAGCGTATGAACTAAGGTGTGACAATAAGAGCTGTCAACCAGTTGAAAAAGCTCTCCAAGCTCCTGCTGCAGCTTTAACTTCCCTCACTGAGAGAGGTAACAGGTAGCTCAAGAAACAAACAAGAAAGTAGACAAGTGAGACATACTCTGCTAACATAGTGAGCAAAATTGAGATGAACTGGTTTTTGTAAAAGTACATTCTTTCTAGCAGACTGGGACTAGCAGAAATCGAGTGTCCTGACTGTCATTTTTTTAAAAAAATTCTTTGGCAGGGCACGGTAGCTCATGCCTGTAATTCCAGCACTTTGGGAGGCCAAGGCGGGCAAATCACGAGGTCAGGGGTTCAAGACCAGCCTGGTCAACATGGTAAAACCCCGTGTCTACTAAAAATACAAAAATTAGCCGGGCACAGTGTCGGGAGCCTGTAATCCCAGCTACTCAGGAGGCTGAGGCAGGAGAATCACTCGAACCCAGGAGGTGGAGGTTGCAGTGAGCTGAGATTGTGCCATTGCACTCCAGCCTGGAGGACAAGAGTGAGACGGTCTCAAAAAAAAAAAAAAAAAAAAAAAAAAGAATTCTTTTTGTAGTCCGAAACAATGTCTCTATTCACAAAGGTTAAACTTGAAGGACTTTGACAAGTGGCAACTTTGCTCTAGTATAAAAATATATACATTACATTAAATATAGAGTTTAAAATAATAGGTCAGTTTGAAAAGGGTGAAGGTCTCTATTTTTTATTCCAGGTATTCTTATTTCTGCAGAGTGAAACCACACATGAGATTCAATGAAGCAGAAATTCTACAACCGGAGCTTCAGTATTATGTACCTATTATGTTCAGTGTTTTATTTTGTTACTTAATGAATACAGTTATACAGTGCCATGAAAATGCTGATTGTTACCGTCAAGATTATCTTAAAAAGTTACCATAGTTCCTTTAAATTTGTGACTTTTACAAGCTTATTGCATACTTCAATTTAAAGGCAAACAAAAAGGAAGGAGTAAAACCATTGAGGGCTATAATAGGACCATTTACAAGGCAGATGCTCAACAGCAGTAATTGTGATTTTTGTGATCTATATTGATTTTTATACTGAGGAGTAAAATTGAAAACCATTATGGAGGTTTCAATTTTGTGCTATTAACCTATGTTTTTCTCCTCTTTGTATTTATGATTTCTTCTTACCCCCATTCCATCAGAAAATTGGCCCTGTGCTCACTGACTCAACGGAGAGATCTGGCAGGACAGAAAATAGAAATTTATTGCAATTCACTCTGGCTTTGTGTTTCCAAACCCCGGGCCCATAAGGAGATTTAGAGCACTTACAGAACTGGTAAGAGAAACAGAATCAGCACAGAGAACAAACATCTTCAACAAAAACACATGGGAAAAAGGGTTTCCCATCAGACAAAAGGAAATTTCTTGGGGTGGGTGGAAGGTCGTGTGTGAGAAGAGAGGGACGGTTCTTGGCAGGCTGTGTGGGCTTCCTGGCAGCCTCACTGGAGATGGAAAAGTTTGTGTGATGCATTAAGGCACATGGGACCCAGGCAAAATATCAACAAAGGATTCTGTGTCTTCAATATGGAAAATAAAGAGCAAAAGGCATTGGTGACCATGATGACGGTCACCTCAGTTGAAACTCATATGGGCAAATGGCTCCAATACAAAATGTGGAAAATAGGAGATTTAATAACAAGAGTGTGATTTGGAATAGCCTGGCAGGATAGGTAGGTGCTTGAGACAAAGTTGAATTCTGTTATGGAAAATTAAGTTAGTGAGCACTATGTTTGCCCACCCGAGAGTTGCAGAACACTATTTGCTCTCTGCTTAATAATATATATATCTGCTATATGAAGAAAAGCTGAAGTGATATTTCTTCCTTTAATAATTTTAAAATAGGAAATCAACAACATGCTTACAAAATGCTAACATTGTTTAGATACCAGGAAAATTGCAAACATCTGGGAAACCTGATAAATAATGATATTCTTATGAGACATACATGATTTGAAAGGTCAGTACATTTGATAAACTACTTGAAAATATGTATCTGGACACATAAAGCTTAAATTTTTTCTTATGCAAACTATAGAAAAATGCTATGATTCTAAGGATGCATGAAAAAGTAATACCAATATTATGTGGAAGAGGAAGTACTAAAAAATAATGCAAACTGAATAGCCAGTCAGCAATTGCTTCCAGACTAGTTAAAAAAGAGAGCAAGCATCTCCAGGCTACTTAAAAAAGAAAGCAGGCTAGGAGGAGACAAGAATAATTACAATTAATTAAATCAATAAAGACTTGTTTCATAATGTCATTAGATTGGAATTATAAAGTGACAAACTCCGCTACAATAACCATCCCTTACATTTAAATAGAGCTTTATAAAGTGCTTTTACATATGAGGTCTGTTTAAATCTTCATAATTTGATGAAGTATATAGGACAGCTATATAAACAAATAACTAAGATAATTTCAGTAGTGATACTGCTCTGAAGAAAAATAAGAGGACTGAGGAGCGTGTGTGTGTGTGTCTGTATTGCTATTTCAGTGAGGGGGGTCAGGAAAGAAAGAAGTGACATTTGTGCAGAAACCTGAGTGCTAAGTGGAATGAGTGATTTGCCATGCAAAGACACAACAAAAGAGTGTTTTGGAAAGGAAGGCAAGTATATTACCAAGGATTGGAAAGATGGGGAGTCTGGCTATAAAGAAGTGAGCAGGTGAGCGGTAGGTGACATTGTTAGAGAGTCTTTAGGAAGAGCATCTTAGGTAAAATTCAGGAGTGTGTATTTCCATATGAGCCTGATGATAAGTCACTGAAGAGCTTCAAGCAATGAACAAAATCTGAATTAATTTTTTTAAATGTGACTGGGGCTGCAGTATGGATAAAATGCCTGTAAGATGGTTAGAGTGGAATGAAAGACATCAATGCAATAGTGTAGGTCAGAGAGACTTAGGCCTTGAATAGGTTGGTATCATGGAGGTGACGAATTGTAGCTGGATTTGGGATAGATTTTGAAGGTCAAGTCAACAGGATTTGTTGGTGTATTGGACATGGGAGGTGAGGGAAATAAGTAAAGTCAGGAAATAGTGGTGCCATCTACTGAGATAGAAGAGATTTGGAGGTTGTGGACAAACTAAAAATCTTCTTAGTTTCTGAATTTTCTTAGAAATTCTAAGAATTTTCTTAGAATTTGAAAGTTCAGGATAGCTACTATCCTGCCTTTGCATGTTAATTCCTGTGCATTTAGGAGAAACACTCTCAGAACTTTTATGGATTTTAATCAGTAGGTATGACCTGTTTGGAGAATTCCCTTATTTCCATTTACATTGGGGACAAGATATGTGGAACTATTGTTTCAAGGCTTCTAATTATTCTCTTGAATGCTCTCTAGTTGATTGATTGACTTCTGAGTTACTTTCTAAGGGTTAGGAATCCTCTACCTGGGGCTGTCCTCTGCATGGTTAATGCAGTAACTCACATGGGCTTACTTAATTAGCCCTCTGCAAGAGTTATGCCACCCCCTGTCTTCCCCCCACCCCGAGAAGAAAGGATAGCTGTGCCTGTTTAAACTTTGAAGGCCTTTTCTCTTGCACAGAGGAACTCGGGATTCACCTCTGAATTTGTTTTTTTTTTTTGCTGTACTGAATGTAATTTAGAAAAACTATGACAGGAAACAGGAAACCTAATGTTCCACTTAAGCTAAGTGATTTTCCTTCAAAAGAAGATAGACAGTCTTAAAATATGCCCTACCAACTTTTCTTTAAAATAATTCTTCCTTTGGGGAAAAAAGTGTATTTAGACAGATTTTTCCCAGTCATCAGCATGCTGTCTTCACATTTTGCCATATTCACACATTATTTTTACTTAATGTTTTCTTACAATCAACTGACTTTCTAATATTCAAATGAACATTTTAACCAGAACTTTTACATAACTACCACAAATGAAAAATCAGGATTATTTGTTATGAGAGGAGGTACTGATTAAAATAAACACAATGAGATTAGTGGCTCTAGCTCACTGTTGTGGTGGGTTTTCCTTGTTTGAGCAGAGTGACTCTTTTATCTCTAGATGATTTTGAAAGCTTCTCCGTAATGACATTTGCTCCCATGAGCTTAGAAGTATCTTTTGAAATTGGATGATAGGGAATATTTCAAAGCACGGCAAGCTATAAACCACCACGCTGTGGGTTTCCTAACACCAACTTCCAAGGTTTTAATGGTCAGTATATCACAACTGGGAAACACTGAATCATAAACTCTTCAAGTCACAACCCGAGAAGGAGCTAAATTCATAGTATGATCACTTTACAGATGAATTTTAGTATTGGCTATCTCTGCATTTACTTAACTAGGGAGATATTTGCCGGGAGTTGTTTGAAATACAAGCTTAAAGACCTCTTTCAAACAGAAATAACTCTTCTTAGAGAAAAGGAAACAAAAGACTTTGTATAACTCTACTGCTATCTTTGCTAGGATCTAAATTACAATTCCCGGGAACTTTGGCATGAATGTTTAGTTAAAGAGACTTTAAAGCGCTAGAAAATTGAATCGCTCTATAACGTCTAGAACACTTTTCTATGTATATTGTTTTGCTGAACGATAAGATAAAGTATCACATTTTACTCTACGCATTTTAACAAACTCATAGTTAGCAAGTCTTACTCATATACTTTTTTTTCCCCTTGAAATAGACTTTTATCCTTCTCTAACAATTTATTCATTCCTATATATGCTTCAAAATCCAGCTCAGCTCATTTCCACTGTTTTTGTTTTTGTTTTTTCTTTTTAGTACTCTTGTAGCACCTAATGTCTAGACAGATAATTTGACAATTTGATTATCTAGTTTAATTATTTGTACATGTTTACATTTTATCATCTCAAATCTAATATTATGGCTGCATAATATCTATGTTATTATATATACAGAATTATATTTTATTATAATATAGAATGTTTGCTCCTTTATTCTTTTTCGTTATTCATTTAGAGTATCTCATACAATCATTCCTCAGCTATGTCTTTATAAAGTCATATGTTTCACCTTTGCCATAGGATAAAAAATCAAAAGAAATATAATATCCTGTGACACATTAAAATTATGTGAAATTCAAATTCTAGTTTTATTGGGAACACAGCCACGTTTCTTCATGTATGTATTTTCTATGGCTCCTTTTGTCTAAAATGGCAGTTTGGAGTAGTTCCAACAGAGGCTATCTGTTTTACAAAACCTACAATTTTTACTATTTGGTCCTTCTAGCAAAAGTTTGCCAACTCCTGGCTCCAAAGAGCATGGAGGAGGTGAAACATAATTATATTCCCACTAGATGACAAGGGCAATATGGTAATAAGGGTCTAATGTACAGAGAAGTCCTTCACAGTACAGAACACCTGAAAATGCTGGATAAAAGAATATTTTTTAGAAAGCATGGCCGAGCTGGTAGGAGAGAAAGAAAACATCTGAAGGTCAGAAATGAGGAGTAGGTATAAGGAGACACTGGAGCTGGTGTTTTTACAGAGGGTGTTAGCTAAATAAAATGAGATTTTTAAAAAAGTTTTAAAATAGCAGACCACCTAATCTAGAGTCATACATGTATGTGATAAAACTGTAAAAAGCTAGGAACTTCTTATTAAATTTTTTAAAAATGATTACCTCAGAGTAGGAGATTAGGGAAGGGTACATTGGAAAACTCAAAAGTCTTGGTAGACTCAGAAATCTTTATCAGTTCTGCCCCAATACAAATAAAGTGTGAACCACGACAAATGTGAACCATATATATTAGGTTGGTGCAAAAGTAACTGCAGGTTTTAGCGCTGCTTTTAATGGCAAATACCATGATCACTTTTGCACTAATCTAAGTAGAATTTTCTACTAACCAAATTTTTAAAGCTAAATTTATTTTAATAATATATTTAACTCAATATATACAAATATTATCATTCAACATCTAACAAATACAAAAATTATTATGAGATCCTTTATATTCTTTTCTTGGTACTGAATCTTCAAAATTGGATTTGTATGTTTTTCTTATAGCACCCCTCAATTAAAGCTAATCACATTTTAAATGTTTAATAGTAGCGAAGTGACTGGGCATGGTGGCTCACACCTGTAATCCTAGCACTTTGGGAGGCCAAGGCAGGTAGATCATCTGAAGTCAGGAGTTCGAGATCAGCCTGGCCAACATGGCAAAACCCCATCTCTACTAAAAATACAAAAATTAGCTGGACATGAGTAGCTGTAATCCTAGCTACTCAGGAGGCTGAAGCAGTAGAATCGCTTGAACTTGGGAGGAGGAGATTGCAGTGAGCTGAGGTCATGCCACTGGGCTCCAGCCTGGGTGACAGAATGAGACTGCATCTCAAAAAAAAAAAAAAGTGCTAAGAGTGATGGCTACTCTACTTGGATAGTACATTTTTAAACATTAAGGTTGGTGGTAGGTATATGGGAGTTTATTTTATCATTTCATAAGCTGCACATTTCTTTTCTTTTTTTTCTTTTTATTTTTTGAGACAGAGTCTCACTCTGTTGCCCAGGCTGGAGGGCAGTGGTGCAATCTCAGATCACTGCAAGCTCTGCCTCCTGGGTTCACGCCATTCTCCTGCCTCAGCCTCCCGAGTAGCCGGGACTACAGGCCCCCGCCACCACACCCGGCTAATTTTTTGTATTTTTAGTAGAGACAAGGTTTCACCATGTTAGTCAGGATGGTCTCGATTTCCTGACCTCGTGATCTGCCTGCCTCGACCTCCCAAAGTGCTGGGATTACAGGCGTGAGCCACTGCACCCGGCTGCATTTCTTATTTATTGCATGCACGCCATATTATTTTGAAGTGCAAGGGAAGATACCTTAACATTTAGAGCCTACTTTCAAATAAACACGTTCTTGTTCTCTAAAATTCTAGATGTTAAGGTTTTCCTTCCTTCCTTCCTTCCTTTTTTTCCTTCCTTCCCTTTCTTCTTTTCTTTCCTTCCCTTTCTTCTTTTCTTTCCTTCCCTTTCTTCTCTTCCTCCTCCTACTCTCCCTCCTCCTCTTCCTTCTCTTCCTCCTCCTCCTCCTTCTCTCTCTCTCTCTGTCTCTGTCTCTCTCGTGTGCACATGCACCACATTCTCTCATCCTTTGTGTGATGTGCTTTATACTGATTATAGGTGATTCAGATATGTTTCTTGAATCTGCTTAAAGCCCTTAGGGAACATTGTTCTTGTTTACTTGGCACAAAACAAATTCAATTAAATATGAACCTATTTTCTCCCATTTAATGACATTATTTTAAATAGGCATTCTTGAAAAAACTGTTCATTAAAAATGTAATTGGAAAACAAAAGTTAATGGTTGAAAAATAACGAGCAGCTTTTGTGTGAGCCTTCGTACCAAAAAAGTATTTTAAGTAGGAATCTGTTAAGAGAAAACATAGTGTTAGTATATTGAGCATAGTCAAAGCACTTCCTTTATCATCCCTATTCATTTTAGACTCACCTTCTACAAATGTTTATACATCACCCACACTTGTGAGGAAACATACACAGGGGCAGAAATGGCAGAATGGAATTGTGGGCTTAAATCAGAGGTCAGCAAAACATGGCCGTGGGACAACTCCAGTAACTTGCCTGTGTTTGTATGGCACAAGAGCTAAGGATAAATTGTACATGTATTAGATGGCTGAAAAAAATCAAAAGAATAATGCCCTGTGACACACAAAAATTATGTAAAATTGAAATTTCACTTTTATTGCTACACAGACATACCCCTTCATTTATGTATTATCTATGGTGTTTTTGTCCAAGAATGGCAGTTTTGAATAGTTCCAACAGAGACTACTACAAAACCTACAGTTTTTACTATTTGGTCCTTTTAGCAAAAGTTTGCCAACCCCTGGCTTAAATCACCATTTTTCCCAGATGATGATCAGTTTCCTGTATAATGACTGCATTGGTTCATTCTCAGATTGCCATAAACAAATACGTGAGATTGCATAATAAAGAAAAGATGTTTAATTGACTCATGGTTCCACAGGCTGTACAGGAACATGACAGCCTCAGCTTCTGAGGGGGCCTCAGAGCTTTTACCCATGGTGGAATGCAAAGCAGAAGCAGGAGTCTTCTATAGCAGGAGCAAGGACAAGAAAGAGAACCAGGGGAGAGGTGCCACAAACTTCTAAACAACCAGACCTCTTGAGAACTCACTATCACGAGAACAGCCCAGAGAGGATGATGCTAAACCATTCATAAAGGATGCACCCCCATAATGCAATCACCCGCCAGGCCCCATCTCCAGCTTTGGGGATTATACTTGGTTACGAAATTTGGGTGGGCATATAGATCCAAACCATATCAATTATCAAATTAAAAACATGACATAAATGTTTAAACTATGGAAATCATTATTAGAAGACAATTGCAAAGTGATCATTGTGTGTTATGTGTGTTTATTTTCCACTTTAATGCTTTGAGCTAATAACATGCATCTCAGATTTGCCCAATTTAGAGAAAGCAGAGGCCAGATCTGATGGCAGTTCTGCTTTGTCAGTAGTTTTAGCTATGTCCATAATCTTAAGAGAGACAGAGCCTCTAGGGGCCTCTGTTGGTCTATAAAACAAATAAGGATAAAGTTAGATTGTCACCATGATCCTTTCTAGTTTTATAACTAATTATGGAGAAAATTTGTTAAGAGAGAAACAGTAAAAAATATTATCCTAGAGACACTGAAGTTAACTAGGTCATAACTAGGTCATGAAGCACTGGGCTTCATGTTTGTAGACTTTGTCAACAACTTAACAAATTTGCTGTATGTTCAATGAGATAATGTATTGGAGGACTGCTTAGTATGGACTAACCAACTTAAATAGAAAATACATTTCCTGAGCTGAACTGCAAAAATCATGGACACAGCCATCTTATTACCGTTCTCATGGACTCACAGAGATTGAGGTAGAGAAGTCACTGTTTTGACAAGTAGAGATGCTCCCCAAGCAAGCACAGGGTCCCTTGACAAAATGACTGCAGAATTGTTGCCATGTTGATTGAAATGCTGAATCTCACCCTCTGATTCCTAACATTGCTATTTTAAAGACATCTAAGCAACTGCCATGTTAAAAAAAAAATCATCTTCAACCTCGCAGTATCTGGTGTTGCATAATCTGAAGAAATCCTAACACCGTGGACAGAGTTACCGGACAAAACTGTTCAGAAATATTTCACAATAAGGACATTGTTTTGAATATTCAAATGTATCAATAAAGGATAGGATCACTTAAATAAGACTGTAAGGACCCAAGTAATTTGTTGTCTCCCTTGGTTTTTAATAAATACAGTAATAATCTAAAAGCCTTCACACCTTAAGAGCATTAAAGTCTCTAAGTAAATAATATGAGTAAGAATGTATCATCTTAGCAACAACACATTTCAGAATTGCCTATGATTGACACTGACATAATATTCTTTAAAAAAAAGCAGGTAGATTTTTCATTGTACCAATATTTTGTTTGGAGATGAGGCTAAAGGAAATGATTTCAATCAATTAAAGTGAAATCTCAGACTTAAACTGATTCACAATGAACACATTTTTATTATTTTCACCTGATTTCTACACACCCTCATTCACATACACCCCTCACTGTCCCCAAAACATCATTTAAGAAGGAAGTATTTGAACATGATGAAAATGTTAAAGATGGTAGCAAAGGCCACACAAAATTATTAATATATACTTGGAAGAATCAGACTGAGTTATTCTTATCTCACCAGACTGCTTTCTTCTTAATCTAATTCCCACAATGAAGGTGGAAAATCAATTTCATTACCAAGCAACGTCTTCAATCACAGCCCTCTAAACTATTCAAAAGCAAAGTTAAATTTTCTCTGCTATTTTATGATTGGTCTGCCTGAATACCTATGTGATGGTTGTAAAGTTTTGTTGGGAAAAAGGAAAAGGAAATACTCCCAATTTGGGAAAATGTGTCAAACACAAAACATGATCATATTCTACATGGTCTTCAATGTCATATTAACATTTCCCAAAGCTTAATGGTTATATACTAATGTGAAATTTAAATATTTCCCGGAATTACTCATTGCCCTAGACCTACAGAATTAACAAATACAGCCATGAATTCTTCTGATCTTTTTAAAAGCAGTGGATCCAACTAGGAATATCTGAAAATAATAATCCAAAAAGGGATTGAAAATTCCTTTCTCTTAAGGCTCAATTTGTTGGCTATAAGCTGATTTTTCTGACTCCCATGCTGTATTAGAAGTATATTAATTAAATGATTACAAAGAAAAAAGAAGTTGTGGCATTTTGCATATTAAAGTGCCCTAAAGGATTTCACAGCCTTATGTTAAATGCAGAAGAGTATAAAAAGAGAAACTTAAAAAAATTATTCACACGACTTTCATTTACAGTACTGAAATGACTAATTACGTGCCAAGTTCTATTTATAGACAATTCTTCTTCATGAAGCTCAAAGTATTTTATAGATCTCTCTAATTGATCTTTGCCACTTTACAGATGCTAAAGCTATTTGTACAATTAGAATTCTCATGGAAAAAAATTAAAGGCAAAGAGAAGTGAACTAAATCAGCTGAGTAAAGGTTAAAGCTTAGTTCAGAAGTGTTATTTTCCCTTGGCTACGTTCTGTATTGTTTTAAAGTGTATTTTGGGCCAGTAGAGAGTAGACTCAGTGCTTAATCCTAGGTATTTTCAGCAATTAATTTTAAATACAACTCATGTGGCCCAACAGTTTAGTCAAAATCCAATGCACAAAATTTAACAGCCTTCACCTTTCATATAAATCACAGGGTTGAAAGGCATTTTTGGGAACATTTATTTTCTTAGTTTATTTTCAATTATTTATTTACTATATAGTAAGTAACTGCTATGTGTCGGACAATATTCTAGGCACTGTAGTTTTTTGTTTTTTTGAGACAGAGTCTCGCTCTGTCACCCAGACTGGAAACTGGAGTGGCACAATCTTTCCTCACTGCAACCTCCGCCTCCTGGGTTCAAGCGATTCTCCTGCCTCGGCCTCCTTGAGTAGCTGGGACTACAGGCACATGCCACCACTCTCAGCTAATTTTTGTATTTTTAGTAGAGACAGGGTTTCCCCATGTTGGCCAGGCTGGTTTTGAACCCCGACCTAGGTGATCCACCCGCCTTGGCCTCCCAGTGCTGGGATTACAGGCGTGAGCCACCATGCCCAGGAGGCACTGCAGTTTTAATAATCAGCAAACCAAGTGCGGTCCTTCCTTATACACACTGAGCTTCTGATTAAAACCTCCTTAAACTAGCCTAAGTTGAAATATCTTCCCCTAATTTTATATATGTCTAAAGAAGACTGCATGTTTTTCATAAGTAATACATCCAAGTACTAACCACTTTCAATGTACAGAAAATTCTTCCATGTATGACATAATTCATTCTACAATTCCCTCTAATTCTTTTTGCCGGCTATTTCATGAATATGAAAAACATGAGGTCAATATGCAAAAATCATTCATAGGATTGTAGAGTATTATCTATATTATTTAATTTATTTCCAACTTTCTTTTCTTTGGATACCAGGTTTCCTCTAGCTATCATTGTGAATTTCTAGATAATCTGGGAGTTTTGCTTGGGTTTTAATCATATCAATTATTTGTTCATCTAAAAATGTTTATTATGCATTTTTGTGTCAGGCACTCTGCTAGACATTGATGATAACTGTATACAGTACAGACTGCCCTGCGTTCCTCATGCAATTTACAGACTGGCGTAGTGATTGTTTCTCCCATGTTGATGAAATTTAGAGATTAATTTATACTTTATATAATCTAGAGTCTTCATTCTATTTTACATTCATTATCCTATATAATTTAAATATACATATAATATATAAAAATATGTAATATGTATTGCAAAAGCCAACTATTTAATTTAATATATATTTCATATATATGCATATATATAACTCTATATGTATATCCATATATGTATATACACAATATACATTTAATTTGTATATATTATATAAATAATGTAGTATTAAAAATTCAGTACAGTGTCTCACTAGTGACTTGTCTAAATCTATGTTAACCAAGATATTGGAGTTCTTTAGGCTCAAAAGATTTTACCATTAGTTTGAGAATGAACTACTCCTTACCAGGATTTGTTAATATAGTAGGCAAGTCATTTGACTTCTCTGGATATCAACTAAATCATCTATAAATATAGCATGCACCTTATAGGTTTGTTGTAAAAATTAAATGAGATAGTTAAATACTAAGTGCCTAGAACAGAGTAGAAATACAGTAACTGGTAAATTTCCTGTTTCTTTCTGAGATAAGATTACAGCCAGCTGTGAACTCATCTAGTCATTGTATCATCTGGGTCAGGTTTCTGCTAATTTAGCTGTCGCATGAAGTAGAATGTCCCAGTTCAGGAAAAAAATAAAAGAAAGGTGATTGAGTTATTTTTGAATAGCTGGTTTTGCTGTTCCTATATAAATGATGACAATAGGTACACTAAACTTTCAGGGGATGAGATCATACTTAAGAATTTAGAAAATATATAATGAGATGCCTCAGGATTCAAGTTAATAAGAGAATGAGCAGCATTCTACTCTCATGAGTAAAAATATTGCTCGACTTGGAGAATTTAATTGAGATTATTTTTATTTTATTGAGTAATGAAAAGTTTTCTTTAAATAAATCTAAAATTCTGGCCCAGATTTCCCCCCTCATGTTTTTTTCCAAGTGTTTCTCAAAATGTAAGAAAGTTCTTAGATTTGTTGTACCTTAAGAGGAGAAGATGGAATAGAACAAAATGGAATGAGTTTTCAGTCCTGGTTTTGCCATTTACTAATTGCATGATTTCAGCAAGTTATCCCAAATTTTTGAGACTTGGCTCTATAAAATATGGGAAATATCTACCTTACTTATAGGTTGTTGAAAAGGTTAAATGAGAATGTAATTACAGCAGTCACCATTGGGTTCCTGGTTCTATAGCAGGCACTAAAAATAATCACTCTTCTACCTCTTATAATATTATTTATTTAGAAAAAATGCCACATATCAAATGCATTGTTAAATGATGTATATTACCAACCCAGCTCAGTGTTTCTTCAAGTTGAATGATTCAAACTTCTTCCATAAAATATTGTTATCTGAATAATAATGGAAGATTGGTTTTAAATATTTTCGATGCTTTCTGAATTACAGAGCACATGGCTTCCTTCAAAATGATCACTCACATAAAGGCTCTAACTTAAGCAAGTTCTTATTTTGAACAATGAAAGCAGATTAAAATACATTTCCCCTTCAAATCCTTATAGCTAAGAATAATAGCAGAACCATGAGAAATTTCAAAGAGTAGATTATATTGTTTGGCAACCAGTCATTCTTGACCAGCCTTTAAAATTATGAGGAACACAGAATTAATGAGCCAATATGTCATTCTTATTTTGACACAGAAATAATATTTAAGCGATACTGACAGCTAAATTTTCCATTTGCCATCATTTCAAATCCACCCCCTAAGTATTTCTTGCTTCTATTTCCTCTTCTGCATTTTAAGCTCATTGCCCTACTTCAGGTCCTCATTATCTCCCACTGGAATGTGGCAATTTAAAGGATCTGTTTTCCCGGATTCTCAGCTCTATATGCTACCTCTCCAATGCATGTTTTATATTGAAGATAATGGAGCAAACTATTTAAGAGACAAGTCAGACTATGCTAACAGGATGTCAATGCTACAAGAGAGTCTCATGTTGAAGACTCTAGACCCAGAAGAGAAGGAAAGCAGAGATAAGTGAGCCTGACATTGTGTGGTTTGATAATCCTAAATTGAACAAGCAGCAGAAAATTGGGGCTAAAGACTAAGAAATTAGAAGAATCTTAGGCCATCTCACAATTTCAAGAAGACAGAAATTAGAATCCATGCGGGGCATGGTGGCTCACACCTGTAATCCCAGCATTTTAGGAGGCTGAGGAGGGTGGATCACCTGAGGCCAGGAGTTCGAGACCAGCCTGGCCAACATGGTGAAACCCCATCTCTACAAAAAATACAAAAATTAGCCGAGTGTGGTGGTGCACACCTGTAATCCCAGCTACTCGGGAGGCTGAGACAGGAGAATTGCTTGAACTTGGGAGGCAGAGTTGCAGTGAGCCAAGATGGCGCCACTGCATTCTAGTCTGGGGCACAGAGTAAGACTTTGTCTCAAAAAAACAAAGATTCCAGGTCCTGTTAAGTAGGAAGTAACCCTTGCACACATGCCAGACTTTAACCAGAGGTTCCTTAGGGCTGCATCATGAGAATAAAGGTGAAACAGAAATAGATCAGAACTTATGAAAATGGAAACCCAGGCCTGAGTCAGCTCAATCCCTAGCTGGGTTAGACTGACCTGTTCTTTCTCTAACAGCCTTCTGGATGAAAATGAAAATCCTCTCTGGAGGAAGAAAACATTCACTAGAACTTTTTCAGTGTTCCCATATACATTAGTCAAAATCTAATAAAATATTATTAGGCATGCCAGGAAACAAGCCCAAGTGAAAAAAATAAATTATAGAAATAGACCTATAAGTGGGCCAAACACTACAGTCATAAGACACAGACTTTAAATAACTGATTTGCATGTTCACGAAGACAGAAGAAGATGGAAAATGTCAATGCCTTTCTGATCTTTCTGTCTTGTCAATCTTGGGGAATGGCACCACTATCAGATTAAGCTAAACCTTAGAAGTCATCCTTGACGCCTGCTGTCCCGCAATCCCCAGATCCAGGTCATCAGCAAGTGTTGTTGACACCCCCTCAGGTACACATTCCTTAATGTTTATTCTCTATCTCCACTGCTACTACCCTAGAGGTTCCTTTCCCATACCCAGAAGAAAGAGAAACACTTATCTCTGAAGGCAGAAGGCCACTGAGAGGAACCTGAACAAATAGGTCTAGCTAAATTTTTCCCAGTTTACTGCTCTTAGTTCAAACCCATTTGTCCTACCACATTTCTCAACTTTCCACTCTTTATCAAACCTTGTGTAAAAACATTCAGTTGTAACTGTTTCTTCTGATCTTCGTTTCCTTAGAAAGTCTCCTGTGTTGTGTAAAACTTACATTCTTTTGCATGCTTTTCTCTTCTTAATTTGTCATTTGTCAGTCTAATTTATAGGGCTTTAGCTGTAGAACCTAGGAGGGTAGAAAAAAACAGTATTTTTTTCCACCTTACAATTTATACAATCTCTCCTCAGAGAGAATTTTTGTGATTCTCCTTTCTATAAAATAGGTTCCTTAATTTTCTTCAATAGTTCTTCCTATGGTTCTTTTCTCAGCTCATAACTTATTTTTGTATATTTGTTTATTGCCTACCTCCCCCACTAAAATATAAGCTCAACGAATGTACAAACCTCTTCTGTTTTATTCATCCTATATTTCCAGTGCTTGGAAGGGCACTGAGCTCATAATGGAAAGTCAAAAATCATTTGTTGAAAAAATTGTCACATCAGCATAGTCAACACAGGTCTTCATTGACTTGACAAAATTTGCAGCTAGAAGGTGTTTCAGTCCCAAGACCCAGTCTGTACCCACCAGGTATTCATTCCTTTGTGTCTTTTTCCTTCTTATTTATCCTTCCATAATGCAGTGTCACTGTGATAGCGACAGGAGGCAGAGAAATTCTAGGCAGAAAGCAGTGGGTCCCTGGCAAAACCCCACCTTCAAGCCAAAAAGCTTGAAACCCATGGCCCAAAGTGGGAACTTCTATCCCTGTGTGCCTGCTCTCTCCCGATTGTTCTTTTTGAATTTTTTTTTTTCCAATTGAATGTTTTCTTTTCCAAAACAGTCTATGGCCCACTCCACCTCCCATCCTGTGCCTATAAAGACTGCAGGTTCAGTAGAGAGGAGAAATGGCTAGACATTGAGGAGAGGCAACTTGACTTCGGAGACAGCAGCTAGACATTGGAAAGAGGCAACCTGGCTTCAGAAGAGAGAGGCAGAGAGGTGGCTTGACTTCAGGGGAGAGCGACCTTCCCTTCCCATCCCCATTCCAGCATTCCAGCTCCCTTCTCTCCTGAGAGCCACTTTCACAGATCAATAAAATTCTCTGCATTCACCGTCCTTCAATTCATCCACGTGACCCCATTCCTCTTGGGCACCAGACAAGAATTCAGGTTGCACCAAGTGCAGGTACCCAAAAAGACTGTCACACTGGCCCTTTGACCTCCCTGGCAGAAGGCAGCTGCCCCACATGACAAGGCAAAGGGCCCACTGAGCTGATAACACAATGCTGTCTGTGGACAGTGGAGCTAAGAGAGCATTTTAACACACCCTCCGGGGCCTTAGCATCCCACCTGGACACTGCCACGGGGCCCACATGGAGTTTGCTCCTGCAGGCACCAAAGTGGTCGGCCGGTTCCTGCCCTCATTTGCTCCTGTACTCCCTCCTGCAAGGGGTTGAGTGGGCCAGGCTAAATAAACAGGGGACCCCTGTTGCGAGTTTCACAAAGGAGTCAAGAAAATATCCTGCGTTGATTGGAACTTGATTGGGTACTCATTGTGTGTGAAGAATTGGGCTAAGCAAAAGACTGTGACGAAAAATGGCAATATTAAAATTCAACAGAGGAGGAGAAAGGTAAGGACAATTTAGTAACATGCTTGAAATTCCAGGTCAAGTCATTTTGAAACAAGCAGATAAACAGGAATTTTACTGTAGCCGCTAATTTCATACAAATGAGCAAAAAATTTTCAGGTTGAATAGTACTAAGATTTCACGTGTCTCATTCTGATTTTACTACTAGACACAACCATGAATTATATTATTTGGATATACCACACTATCCATGCTGCAACTTGTCATCAGACTTTTGCCCATTTATGCTGATCATTCTCATTCTTTATCGATAAAAATGATCCACCTAAAATTTGAGAATAATTTAGGTCTATTAGTAATAAGTAAGGGTGTCAGTACTATAAATGGTATTGTCTTTGAATGACTTGTGAACGAAATAAAACTGCTGATTCCCTATTTTGTCTTTCTTGGTTGTTAATGTAACCTAAATACTTTATATGCCTTTATAAAATATATATAATTGAGTATAAACCTAAAGTTATTTATTTTACTTATTTATATAAATCGATTTATTCCAACTTGTCTCATGGGAGGCAGGGTGTCAGTTTTACTTCCCAGGAAGCATTTGCCAATATCTAGAGACAACTTTACTTGTCACAACTGGGGGAAGGATACTACTGACATCTGTTGGGTAGAGGTCAGGGATGCTGTTAAACATCCCACAATGCACAGGACAGCCTCTCACAGCAAAGAATTATCTGGCCCAAAATGTTCACAGTGCTGAGGCCGAGAAACTCAGATTTATGTAAAAGTCTGCAGTGCCTAGACTTAAGTCTTTGGATAAATTCCCAGCAATAAAAGTTTGAGTCAGTCTTCTGAAGACTGAAAACCTGGAAACACTCATCCCTTTGTGATGTACAACTCTTGACCATCTCTTCCTGAAACAGTCCAGATTCATCTAGATTTAAAATCTGTTAAAGCAGGTCACCCTTCTCCTTATTGACTTCGGTACATGCCTCGCAGCTGTGGCATCAGCACTTGCCACCTTGCCACATAATTTGATATTCTACAGATTCAGACTGACTTCAAGTCTTTGGAAGCCACATCATGGCTTTTAAGAAGCATATTTACCATGCTTTGCCTTTAAGTTTGGAATAAACTCCCTGCCTTTCTTTGAGCTACAGGGAGGCTAATCAATATCTTACTTAGGTGGTGACCCTGGAGTCACATCCTTACTTTTATTCTTTTTGTGATCAATTGTTTTTTTAATAAGGACTTTTTAAAAGCAGGTCATTCACACAAAGGGTACACATTTAAGTATAAAGCTCAAGAAATTTTCAGATAGTGAACACACTAGTATAACCACGACCCAGACAAAGAAATAAAAATTAATTAGAGTGTATGTGTCGAGGAATGTATCCATTTCTTCTAGATTTTCTAGTTTATTTGCATAGAGGTGTTTGTAGTATTCTCTGATGGTAGTTTGTATTTCTGTGGGATCGGTGGTGATATCCCCTTTATCATTTTTTATTGTGTCTATTTGATTCTTCTCTCTTTTTTTCTTTATTAGTCTTGCTAGCGGTCTATCAATTTTGTTGATCCTTTCAAAAAACCAGCTCCTGGATTCATTGATTTTTTGAAGGGTTTTTTGTGTCTCTATTTCCTTCAGTTCTGCTCTGATCTTGGTTCTTTCTTGCCTTCTGCTAGCTTTTGAATGTGTTTGTTCTTGCTTTTCTAGTTCTTTTAATTGTGATGTTAGGGTGTCAATTTTGGATCTTTCCTGCTTTCTCTTGTGGGCATTTAGTGCTATAAATTTCCCTCTACACACTGCTTTGAATGCGTCCCAGAGATTCTGGTATGTTGTGTCTTTGTTCTCGTTGGTTTCAAAGAACATCTTTATTTCTGCCTTCATTTCGTTATGTACCCAGTAGTCATTCAGGAGCAGGTTGTTCAGTTTCCATGTAGTTGAGCGGCTTTGAGTGAGATTCTTAATCCTGAGCTCTAGTTTGATTGCACTGTGGTCTGAGAGATAGTTTGTTATAATTTCTGTTCTTTTACATTTGCTGAGGAGAGCTTTACTTCCAAGTATGTGGTCAATTTTGGAATAGGTGTGGTGTGGTGCTGAAAAAAATGTATATTCTGTTGATTTGAGGTGGAGAGTTCTGTAGATGTCTATTAGGTCCGCTTGGTGCAGCGCTGAGTTCAATTCCTGGGTATCCTTGTTGACTTTCTGTCTCGTTGATCTGTCTAATGTTGACAGTGGGGTGTTAAAGTCTCCCATTATTAATGTGTGGGAGTCTAAGTCTCTTTGTAGGTCACTCAGGACTTGCTTTATGACTCTGGGTGCTCCTGTATTGGGTGCATATATATTTAGGATAGTTAGCTCCTCTTGTTGAATTGATCCCTTTACCATTATGTAATGGCCTTCTTTGTCTCTTTTGATCTTTGTTGGTTTAAAGTCTGTTTTATCAGAGACTAGGATTGCAACCCCTGCCTTTTTTTGTTTTCCATTTGCTTGGTAGATCTTCCTCCATCCTTTTATTTTGAGCCTATGTGTGTCTCTGCACATGAGATGGGGGCTAATATCCAGAATCTACAATGAACTCAAACAAATTTACAAGAAAAAAACAAACAACCCCATCAAAAAGTGGGCGAAGGACATGAACAGACACTTCTCAAAAGAAGACATTTATGCAGCCAAAAAATACATGAAAAAATGCTCATCATCACTGGCTATCAGAGAAATGCAAATCAAAACCACTATGAGTTATCATCTCACACCAGTTAGAATGGCAATCATTAAAAAGTCAGGAAACAACAGGTGCTGGAGAGGATGTGGAGAAATAGGAACACTCTTACACTGTTGGTGGGACTGTAAACTAGTTCAACCATTGTGGAAGTCAGTGTGGCGATTCCTCAGGGATCTAGAACTAGAAATACCATTTGACCCAGCCATCCCATTACTGGGTATATACCCAAAGGACTATAAATCATGCTGCTATAAAGACACATGCACACGTATGTTTATTGTGGCATTATTCACAATAGCAAAGACTTGGAACCAACCCAAATGTCCAACAATGATAGACTGGATTAAGAAAATGTGGCACATATACACCATGGAATACTATGCAGCCATAAAAAATGATGAGTTCATGTCCTTTGTAGGGACATGGATGAAATTGGAAACCATCATTCTCAGTAAACTATCGCAAGAACAAAAAACCAAACACCGCATATTCTCACTCATAGGTGGAAATTGAACAATGAGATCACATGGACACAGGAAGGGGAATATCACACTCTGGAGACTGTGGTGGGGTGGGGGGAGGGGGGAGGGATAGCATTGGGAGATATATCTAATGCTAAATGACGAGTTAATGGGTGCAGCACACCAGCATGGCACATGTATACATATGTAACTAACCTGCACAATGTGCACATGTACCCTAAAACTTAAAGTATAATAAAAAAAAAAAAACTAAAAAAAAAAAAAAAATTAATTAGAATGAGAGAAGTACTCTCTGTGTCCCCTCACAGTCCTACCACCACCCTCTTTCCCAAAGAAAATAACTCCTATTCTGACTACTGGATTATAGTTTTGCCAATGTTGGTACTTTGTATAAATGGAATCACATGACATATACTATTTTATGACTGACAGTTTTGCTCAATATCTATTTTTTAGTTCATTTGAGTTGTCATGCATAGCAATTTGCTTATTTTCATTGCTGTGCAGTATTTCAGTGTATGAATACACCACAGTTAATTTATATATTCGACCATCACTGATTTGAATTGTTTCTACTTTATGACTATTATAAACAGATATGCTTTGAATATTCTTGACTATGATCGTTGCTACCTATATGCATTTCTGTTGGTATGTGTTCAGCTTTAATAGATACTGCCAAATGGCTTCTAAAAGAGAGGGTAACAATTTACATTCTCCTAAGCAATGGATGTGAGTTCCAGTGGCTCACCAGCAGTTGGTAGAGCCAGTCTTTCTCATTTTAACCATTGTAGTGTTACTGATATTTCATTATAAGTTTAATATACATTTCCACTATGACTAATAAGGTTAACCCACATTTCATATGTTAACTGAGCATATGGATATTCTTTTTTTATGAGTATTTACTCAAGTTTATTGTTCATTTGTATCATATTATCATTTTCATATACCAACTTGCAGGGCTTCATTAAATATTCTGTATATGATCCTTTGTGGGAAGTAAGTCACTCAAATAGCTCCTCCCAATCTGTGGGTTGTACCTTCATTTTAATTGTGACTTCTGATAATAGAAGTCCTTAATTTTAATGTAGTCTAATGTTTCAGTCTTTCCTTTAAGTTGTGTTTTTGATCAGTAAAATCCAGTGGAATTAGCTGGGTGTTTCATAAATTCCTGAATCTTGGTGTATATTTGATGATGCATTCAGGCCTGATCCCCCGCAACAAGCCTTATTTTATCCAAGAAGAGTGAATGTCGTAAATGTTATAGGAGTCTAGCAACATCTTGTGTCCAAAGATTGCATTATTGTATACTAAATAGTATATTTCAGCTCATTTTTAAACTATATAATGAAACACTTAAAAATTTCTGTTACAAATAGTACAATACAGGCCAGGCGCAGCGGCTCACGCCTGTAATCCCAGCACTTTGGGAGGCTGAGGTGGGCGGATCACAAGGTCAAAAGTTCAAGACCAGCCTGGCCAGCATAGTAAAAACCCCGTCTCTACTAAAAATACAAAAAAAAAAAAAAATAAGCTGGTGTGGTGGTGGGCGCCTGTAGTCCCAGCTACTTGGGAGGCTGAGGCAGGAGAATTGCTTCAACCTGGGAGGCAGAGGTTGCAGTGAGCCGAGATTGCACCACTGCACTCCAGCTTGGGCGACACAGCAAGACTCTGTCTCAAAAAAAAAAAAAAAAATAGTACAATGCAGGGAAAGGCATATAATATTTAACTCATTTTTTCATTAGTATTCTAGTGTATATACATATGCAATGATTATTTACTAGTGACCTCTCTAATCATATAGGAAATACAAAATTAGTTTTATTTTAAAATGTACAATATTCTCAAAATTTGATAATTCAGATCATTTCTTGAAGAAAATAATTAAAATTGTAGACCTGTTTAGAAAGTCAAGAAAATTATACTTTAAAAGTTAAGAACCTATAATACTTTTGGTAAGTATAAACATAACTTTCATTATGTGCTGAGAAAGCAACATTTCATATGACTCGCTTCATTGCAATGGTCTGGAACCAAATCCACAATATCTGTAATGCATTGTATTTTGAAATTTGCTAAGAGAGTAGATTTTAAATGTTCTCATCACCAAGGAAAACGTAGAAATATGAAGTTATACATATTTAATTAGTTCAGATGAATCATTTCACTATGCATATACATATACAAACATTATGTTGTACAGGTAAATATATACTATATTTATTTGCCAATCAAAATTAAAATAATATTATTGGTAAATTCCTAAAAAAATAGAATGAGGAAAGGTCAATTTTTCTTCCTCACAGATCACGTTTACAAAAAAGCAGTGAAAGGAAAGGGAGGTTGGTATAACTTAACTTTTTCAGAACACAAAGAATAAATGCTCTTATTATGCTGTTGCTGTCAATTGATCTATGGACTTCCATATTAAATGCTTCCTGCATCTCAGTCTTATCATCTCAGTGAGATGAGAAATTCCTTAAAAGCAGGTTCTAGGTCTCCCACCCAACTTCAACCCCAATAACACTCACCACAGTGCATCATCTTGAACAAACTCCAGAAGCATCTTGTTATATTTCAAAGGATATCCACACTTGGACTTTAATCCTAACACTAGGATTTCACATTGTTCAGTCATGTGCACCTGTTTTGCCTTTGGTTTACTCATGTATAAAATGGAGATGAAGCCACCTCCCTAATGAGATGATACAGCATATACAAAACCCCAACATCGTGTGTGGACCATATTAGGTATTCAGAAGATATTACTGCTGGCTAGGCTCCTGCCTGTAATCCAGCCTTTTGGGAGGCTGAGGCAGGAGGATTGCTTAAGCCCCAAAGTTTGAGACCAGCTTGCTCAACAGAGTGAGACCCCATCTCTACACATGAATGAAAAAATAAAAAAGAAAAGAGATATTAGTGCTATTTTATAACCTCTGCTACCAACCTTAAATTTGTCCTGTTTTTATCCTTACCACTACCTCTACAGATACGTTAATGACACAAAGCTTAATTTGTAGAAATGAAAACAGTGACATTGAACTTAAGTGATAAAATTGAGACTTGAATTTGTGTTTCAGATATTTACCATGATGATTCCCCCATGTAACACATTCAAAAATTAGTCACTCCTTGCATACTGGTAGGTCTTATCAGCTGAAGTGTATTTCTAAAGCATTTAGTTACTTAGCCTAATATACAGGCATACATATTAATTTTTTTCCTTGACATTACTGGGTTGTTTTTTAATGCATTGTGTCAATCAGGGCTTATTGTGTGTATATTCCAACACACTGTTTGAAATAACTATTCAAATCATTACAATGTTGTTAAGGAGTCACCAGCTGTAACATTACTAATGAATATTAATGTTCTTTTATATTTGGCTGACACTGAAATAATAGCAGTTGTCATGTAGTGTTAACAATTTTAACTCAGATACTCTAGAAAGTCATTTGAAATCTGAAATGCCCTTTAGATTACATTTTGTGGTCAACACACAGCCATGAAGTCAGCTGTGATCAATATAGCTAATAGCAATACCGTTGTAATAATGTAATAATAAAATGGGATTTAAAAACAACTCATTTCCCCCTTCTATTGCTTCCACTTTTATACAAGGTAGATTAAATGCCTTCTAATTTGGTCAGTTTGGGTAAAGAGATCTGTAAGAATAAATGTCAATGCTTTTCAATCACATTGAATTAACAGAACAGAATTGGAAGGGAATGAAGAGAGCTAAAATAATAGCAGTATGGAAGTACTGAGACAGTTTTCTGTCATTTGAGAAAGATCTATTATGAGAAAAATTTATGTCTGTTGGCCATATCCACAAGAGTGATTAGATTATTTGGCTGTAGCAAAAGATTTAAGGTTTTTTTTTTAAAAAAAGTCATTCTCACAAGATAAAAGTGACTGCTTTAAAAAATATTTCAAGGCAATCTGCTAATTTTATATATCTATGCCATTAAAATTAATAGAATGCTGCACATATTCCTTGATAGTTTGTCATTAATGCATGGCATAGCCACACCCTTGCCCAGGGTTCTTTCCAGCTTAAGTAACTGTAGTTATTTTTAAAAATATTATCATGAAAGTCCCTAATTACCAAGGCAGACCATGCGTATATTCTTTCACATAGAAAGTAAAACCTAATGATAAATAGGTATATTGTGTGGCAATTGCACTTCTTGTGATACATTTATACTGACAATATCAATAACTAACTTTCTTGAGCATTAACACTTTGCCAGGTCCTGTTTAAATGCTTTACATGTACCGTCTCATTTAATCTTTGTTCTAGCTCTATGGGGTATCTATAAGTCATCTGCATTTTACAGATGAGGTAACATAAAGTCACACAGTAAATGACAAAGCTAGGACTTGAATCTGGACTATCAGACTCCACAGCCCATACACTTAATCATTAAATTGCTGTCTCTCAATAGTATATTCACAATTCCTTGTTTTAGACATGGAGTTATTTAAGTTTAAAAAAAATTACACATGTTTAACTGTTTACCTTTGTATTTCCTAAAACAGAAAGAAGAGTTCATTATTAGAAAAGCAGAATAAACTGTAAGCTATAGACATGGAAACTGTCAAAAGCATTTAATGGTCAGGGAGAACATCTTCGATGGTGTAATTGAAAGAGCTCTAGCCTTCCTTTTCCAAAGTGCTCCATCGACATCAGTTTGGCTATTCCAGTCATCTTCACTGTGTGGAGAGTACTGGGGTGGGAAGTGGATTTGTGCCCAGTCAGCTCTTTTCTCTCAACCAGGTCACTCATGACCCGCAGAAGGATTACCTCCTTAACAAACCTAGTGTAAAAGTTTAATCAGTGTCCTAGGGAGTGGTACTTACAAAATCTTTAACTGCAACTAAGGACTTTCCATCTCTGAAACACTGTACTCATGATACAAAGCAAGCCAACCAAATATGAAATAATTTTACAGCTAGCTAAGATTATTGAGTTATACACACAAGCAGAATTATGAGCAAGAATACAAGCACAAATTCCCACACACGTTTTCTTCAGATAGCTCATTTAGCCAACTATTTGGGAATAGAAAAAGACCTGACATATCTTTTTCACCCAATTCTGAATTCTTTTTTATTTATTTTTATTTTTATTTTTTTTTATACTTTAAGTTTTAGGGTACATGTGCACAAAGTGCAGGTTTGTTACATATGTATACATGTGCCATGTTGCTGTGCCACACCCATTAACTTGTCATTTAACATTAGGTATATCTCCTAATGCTATCCCTCCCCCCTCCCCCTACTCCACAACAGGCCGAGGTGTGTGATGTTCCCCTTCCTGTCTTCATGTGTTCTCATTGTTCAATTCCCACCTATGAGTGAGAACATGTGGTGTTTGGTGTTTTGTCCTTGCACTAGTTTGCTGAGAATGATGGTTTCCAGCTTCATCCATGTCCCTACAAAGGACATGAACTAATCCTTTTTTATGGCTGCATAGTATTCCATGGTGAATATGTGTCATATTTTCTTAATCTAGTCTATCATTGTTGGACATTTGTCTTGGTTCCAAGTCTTTGCTATTGTGATTAGTGCTGCAATAAACATATGTGTGCATATGTCTTTATAGCAGCATGATTTATAATCCTTTGGGTATATACCCAGTAATGGGATGGCTGGGTCAAATGGTATTTCTAGTTCTAGATCCTGAGGAATCGCCACAATGCCTT